>NC_000010.11:57567337-57718852 GCF_000001405.40 Homo sapiens | reverse complement strand
TTCTTTTGCATTTGCTGAGAAGTGTTTTACTTTCAATTATGTGGTCAATTTTTAGAAAAAGTACAATGTGTTGCTGAGAAGTATGTATATTCTGTTAATTTGGGGTGGAGAGTTCTGTACATGTCTGTTAGGTCTACTTGGTCCAGAGCTGAGTTGAAGTCCTGAATATCCTTGTTAATTTTCTGTCTCATTGATCTGTCTAATATTGACAGTGGGTGTTAATGTCTACCACTATTATTGTGTGGGAATTTAAGTCTTTTTGTAGGTCTCTAAGAACTTGCTATATGAATCTCGGTGCTCCTGTACTGGGTGCATATCTATTTAGGATAGTTTCTCTTCTTGTTGCATTGATCCCTTTACCATTATGTAATGCTCTTCTTTGTTTTTTAATGATTTTTGTTGGTTTAAAGTCTGTTTTATCAGAAAGTAGGATTGCAACCCCTGCTTTTTTTTTGCCTTCCATTTGCTTGGTAAATATTCCTCCATGCCTTTATTTTGAGCCTCTGTGTGTCTTTGCACATGAGATAGGTCTCCTGAATACAGCACACCTATGGGTCTTGACTCTTTATCCAATTTGCCAGTGTGTATCTTTTAATTGGGGCTTTCAGCCCATTTACATTTAAAGTTAATATTGTTATGTGTGAATTTGATCCTGTCATTATGATGCTAGCTGGTTATTTTGCACATTAGTTGATGCAGTTTCTTCATAGTGTCAATGGTCTTTACATTTTGGTATGTTTTTTCAGTGGCTGGTACCGGTTTTTCCTTTCCATATTTAGTGCTTCCTTCAGGAACTCTTGTAAGGCAGGCCTGGTGGTGACAAAATCTCTTAGCATTTGCTTGTCTGTAAGGATTTTATTTCTCCTTCACTTTTGAAGCTTAGTTTGGCTGGATATGAAATTCTGGGTTGAAAATTCTTTTCTTTAAGAATGTTGAATATTGGCCTTCACTCTCTTCTGGCTTGTAGGGTTTCTGCAGAGGGATCTGCTGTTAGTCCTATGGGTTTCCCTTTGAGGGTAACCCAACCTTTCTCTCTGGCTGCCCTTAACATTTTTCCTTCATTTCAACCTTGGAGAATCTGATGATTATGTACCTTGGGGTTGTTCTTCTCTAGGAGTATCTTTGTGGTGTTCTCTGTATTTCCTGAAGTTGAATATTGGCTTATTTTGCTAGGCTGGGGAAGCTGTCCTGGATAATATCCTGAAGTGTATTTTCTAACTTGGTTCCATTCTCCCTGTCACTTTCTGGTACACCAATCAAACGTAGGTTTGATTTGCAGCAAAGAAAATGCATAGTGTTGATGCAACCTTCAGCCTTGAGAAAGAGATTCTGATTTCTGGTCCTCTAGCATGTGCTGAATGGACTATGAGCTAACCAACAACTGGGATCCTCTTTCTGCAGTGAGGTGAGGGCTGGTTATGTGCTCAGCATATAGAACTCAGGCTGGAAGCTCCTATATTCAGCTACTATGTCACTTAGTGTGAACTTGAGGGAAAAGGGCTGTCTGATATGTACTGAACAAACAATACTGGAAGAGGGATTACTCTTTTCTTTCCTCTTTCCACCAACAAAGAACAAAAGCTTGTGCTTTGGTTATCCCCAAGTTCAAAATATTCAAATAGTCTCATTTATTGAAGTGATACTGCAGTAAGTAGGCCCTACTTTCCAACTCCTGTGTCTCCAGGTCTTAAGATGTGTTTGATATGTTGTTGCATATTTGCAGCAGACTTCTGGAATTCTTACTTCAGCAAGAGTACCATCTAGAGGCAACATCAGGAACATTTTGGGGAAGGAGAATTTCAATGAGTCGATCCAACTTTCTGGTCACTTTTCTGCAAAGCAGTATCAACTAGACTCAATCTCACATGGGCTTTATAAGCACTCCTGGGGTTCTAATATACTTATGGTTGAAGGAAGTAATGGGCTTAGCGCAGTCAGTGGTATATAGATTTAGATTTATTTACCATGGATATTGTGTCAGCTGTGATCCTATTTTGTACTCCAGCAAATACAGGGATTATATTAATTATATTAAAAAGATAAGTTTACTTATCTGGTGAGAACAGCTCTTTTACAAGTTTCCTAAGAATTGGTTACAGCCGAATGTAAGAAAATCAAAATCTGTGAGGAAATATGTATCATTTTTGGTGTCAATTTTAACAATTTGTGACAAAATTCTATAACTCCTATTTATAATAGATATAATTATACATCCTTTATTTAAAGTAGAAAGGTTCTGAGTTGACATTTCTTTATGAAATGGCTTTATGAGGCATTGTGAGGTATTAATTTTGAAAAGTGTTTTAACTCTACCTCTTCATCAGCTTTTTACATTTCTCTATCTATTTAAAGAAGGCCTTAAATTGTTTTTTATTTAAACTACATCTTTGACAGATTGGATAATGAATAATCATTATTTATTAGTACCTAGCAATTTTTGAAAGCCAGAAAATAACTTTTTTCCTAATGAAAAAGACACTAATATCAGATTGAACCACACTACAGGTAGAAAGTAATAACATGAGAAATTACTGCTGTTCAAACAGATTATTTTTTCCTGGAATTCACTTGGGATTGCTGTCTCAATTACATGAGGTATGTCATATGTGATTTATGACTTGTGACATATATATTAAGCTTAATATACACACACATACATTTGAGTACATAAATGGCATTCTAAATGTCTTCTCTATCAAAATGATCAGCTTCAGTTGGCAAAACATTCCTTGAATTGGTAAATCACATTTCTGAAAGCATTACAAAATATTTGAAGGGGCACTGTGTACTATTTATAAACCCTCAAACAATTTCAAGAATAAAAACTGAAATAAAGAGAAAAAGTGTAAGTGACACCATTTATAAACTTCTTAAGGGCAAGGGACTTAGATGAACATGGATATTGCTGGAAACTTTTTACTATTCTTATTTGGCTGGAGATGGTTTTCTGAAATATTTAAAAAAAGAAAAAAAACCAGAGGCTTGAATCATGAAGGGCTAAAATTTAAGACTAGAAACTCCTTCAAGTGGTTAGTTCCATTTTCTGCAAACTTTTGTTGTTGTTCAAGGTCGAGGTAAATATTAATATATCTTTTATGTCCTGTGGTTTTAGTACAATTGCATTGTGGCTCTACTACATTTAGATACATTTTTAAGAAGTAACTACTAACTGTAGATTTTTGAAGGTGAACAAACTTGAACCTCTGACATTATAAAAACAGATTAGAACCAAAGAATTTCTGTTTTCTACTGGGCAATTTTTTCCATCTAATTTTGAGTTGAGATCCTGAAGTCATTTGTTGAATTTCACAAAGTTATCTAGAGGCAGAGTTTTCAGGGAAGTGTTTCTGCTTCTATTCTTAGAGTGGTAGCAAAGCCGGGTGGTTAAAAGCCTGGGCTTTGAAGTAAAAAAAAAGCTTGGGTTTGAATCCTGACTTTATCACTGACCAGCCTTGTGACATTGGATAATCTCCCAGACTTAAGTCTCTGCAGCTGTAAAATGAGAGAAAAGGATAATTATAAGAAAAAAGGGAAAAGCTAGAATAAATAGCGTAGAGTTGGATTAGAATTGCAGGTGCCAGTATGAAATAATGATTTTATTTCTATATTTCATAGATAGATATAGAAGTGTGTGCAAACACATACACATTATATATATGCATATTTATGTGTGTATAACACACATACATACATAATATTCACAGCTCTAAGAGAACCTAGAAACAATGAAACCCCAGCCCCAATAAGCATACCTACTGTCCATAACTTGTTTTCTAAATTACATTTTTGAATAAATGGAACCAAGTTTCTTGGAAGAAATGGCTAATTTCAGGGCAGAGACACACAAAGTATATAATGAACATGTAACATTTTACACTAAATAAGTGCTCAAAAAAATGATAGAAGCAAGTCAACAGAACATAGGAGCCAATTTGAAAGAGATTTCTGTGGCCAAAGATAAAACAATGGAAGTACACAAAATAAATACTATTGACAATGCTTTATAACCTGTGGAATAATTATGAGTTCATATTAACATAAAGAAATAATTGAATAACCAATGTGGTGAAGGAAAGCTTCCCTTACAGGGGAATGTAGAAGGCATAATAACAATAGAAAAATAGCAAAGGAACATTTGATAAACACTACAGTAGTAATTGTTTCTTATAAGAATCATTAATGGTCTACTTGGGAGGCTGAGGCAGGAGAATCACCTGAAGCTGAGAAGTGGAGGTTGCAGAGAGCCGAGATTGTGCCGCTGCATTCCAGCCTGGGTGACAAGAGTGAAACTCCATCTCAATTAAAAAAAAATCATTAATGGTAAAAAATGAAGTGCATGAAAACATGATCAGAAATAAGGTATTTGGATATCCTCAAAGCATCCCTTGAAAATATTTATTAATTAAAAAGAATAGAATATCCTTTTTAGTAAAAATAAACAAAAAAACCCAAAGGACATTAAGTTAACATCTTCAACAATGGGACAATTTAGCATCATGAGCCTTCTTATATAAGAAGTACACTTCCGTCATATTTTTGCCAAAACTTCTGTAGTATTTTTGCCAAAACTCAATGACCTGAATTTTATCATGAGGATATATCAAGTGAACACTAAGCAGGCTCTCTCCCAGGCCTCTCCCAGGCTCTCTCATACTTTTGTCCTCTCTGACTTCTAGAACAAACAAGTCCCTTTTAAGGGCTTATCTAGATTATGTATCTAGATAATCTCCTTTTTTATTTTTCTTTAGAAATGGGGTCTTGCTATGTTACCCAGGCTGGTCTCAAATTTCTGCTGGCCTCAAGCGATCCTTCCACCTTGGCCTTCCAAAGTTCTGGGATTACAAGCATGAGCCACCAGGACTGGACTCACCTAGATAATTTTCTTTGTGACAAACCCATATCAACTGGTTAGTAACTGTTATGGGCTGAACTATGTTACCTCAAAATTCATATGTTGATTTCCTAACCCCAAGTGCCTCAGAATGTGACTGTATATGAAGATAGGGCATTTAAAGAGGTAATTAAGGTACAATGAGGTCATATGGATAGACTGTAATTCAACATGCCTGATGTTCTCTTAAAAATGATAGATTAAAACCCCTACCACACATAGACAAAGAAATGACCACGTGAAGACAGCCAGGGAACATGGCCATCTGCAAGGCAGGAAAGAGGGCTCAGAAAAAAAGCCAAACCTGTCAACAACTTGATCTGACTTCTACCTTCTGGAACTATGAGAAAATAAATGTTTGTGTTTAATCACTCGGTCTGTGGTGTTTTGTTTTGCTAACCTTATTAAAGGAATACAGTAACCTAATCATAGAAATGTTATACCGTCATATTTACAGGTTCTTCTTGCCCCCAAGGGAAGCGGATTATATAAGGTGTATACACAAATGGATGGAAAACTTGTGGACTATCTTAAAATTCTGCTTACCACAGTGACATATTGATGCTGTCTATATATATATTCATTTTAATTGATATTCAGAATAAACATCTCATCTAAATAAAAATTCAGAAGTGGATCCAGAGAGGAGTTAGAATTTTATGAGAAACATGATGAAAAAAGTAACATGTGAAGAGAATATTCAGAAGAATGTCCTGTAGTCTTAGGTCATTAAAAAAAAAAATCAAAAACAGTGGCAGAGCTTCCCCTTTAGAAGACTTTAAAAAGGCAATGCTTATTTGGTTGGACAAGTTTTGCTTTCTTCAAAATTCTTCATAAACAAACATAATCTATTAGCCTAATATTTCCATGAGCATTCTGTACTCACAGTTCAGCTCATAAGTCCTGCAAAAACCAGGTTATTTCTTTGATTCTTGAGGAGCAGAGTTACCTACTACATTCTACAAGCTTTATGCATAAATTTGAATTCTCCATAAAAATAATTTTCTAGGAAAATTTAAGAAAGGAGAGGCATAAGCAAAACTGGATCCAGAAAATTTAAAAAAAAGGATAAATTAGGTGATGTCACAATGTTCCTTCTCCATCTCAATTATATCTCTAGGGCTTTTGCCCTTCTATCTCCCATATTCCCTATTTTCTCCCCAAAGTCACCTAACCCACATTATTCTCAAGGAGGGGGTCCAGTAGTAGCAACTGATAATATTATTTCAATTAAAGCCACTGTATTACTTCTCCCAGGGTATTTGCTGTTTAAGTCTTCTTTCTTTATATATATATATATATATAATTTTTTTTTTATTATACTTTAAGTTCTAGGGTGGATTTTCTGCTGCAAAAGTCCCAGATATTTGCCTAGCAGACAGGAAATAACTTTGTGATTTTTTTTTTTCTGTTATATCTGCATTCAACTACTGACTAAACTCACTGCCTACTACCTAGATATTTGGGCTGCGTAAGTTCCAAGCTGCTTCTGACTGGACATGAAACATGAAGATGTCAACAGAAACACACATGTGTTCATTTACAAGAGGAAACTCCTATTTGATTTTTTCTTTTTTGTGCAAAATAGCTTAGGTTAACTGGGTTTTAATATTCTATTTCTAATTAAGAGTTTTGTAGCAGATGAAATCTACAATGTATCAATACTCATAGTACAATGGAACTCCTGTCCAAAACCTTTTATAAAATTGAGATTAACCACATGAAAAGCAGGTATGTTTTCCAGTGTCTTTTACTTTTAGATATGATTTGCATTTTAGCACTTACGTTTTATTAGCAGCTATCTATAATTTGCTAACAAATAATTCCATAACTTTTAAATGTAATTAAAATTTTAATTAAGTCTAAAAATTTTAATTAAGTCAAAGAATGGTATAACTATACATGATAACACAAAGAATACTGTTGAATTTAGGAGAAGATAGGCCAAATGGTGAGGAACTCTTCCAAGTAGATATTTCTTCATTAATTGCTTGAGTGGGGGTTGGTAGGTGGGATGAGTAGAGGGGCAATATTTTTTCATATGTAACTAGGCTGGGCTATAGTCTCAGCTACTGGGAGGCTGAGGCAGGAAAATGGCGTGAACCTGGGAGGTGGAGCTTGCAGTGAGCTGAGATCGCGCCATTGCACTCCAGTCTGGGTGACAGTACAAGACTCCCTCTAAAAAAAAAAAAAAAAAAAAAAAAAAGATTTATGTGTAACTATTTCCATGGGGACATGAATTGAAGATTTTCTCTGAAACTCTTATACATTCATGAGAATTCATTTATAAATTCTCAGAAACATGTTTGATTTAATAGAATTAGAGTTTTATTTTGAACATTGAAAACTTAGCTTTGCTCTATTCTACTCATTTACTTGAGTAGATTCAACTACCTCAGCCTCCCTACTAGCTGGGATTACAGGCCCGCTCCACCACATCCAGCTAATTTTTGTATTTTTAGTAGAGATGATGTTTCACCATGTTGGCCAGGCTGATTTTAAATGCCTGACCTCAAGTCATCCACCCACCTTGGCCTCCCAAAGTGCTGGAATTACAGGTGTGAGCCACCATGCCTGGCCTCATTTACTTTGTAATGTTTTACTTTATTTCTAATTGACCAATAATAATACATATTTATGTGGCAAAATGTGATGTTTTGGTGGATGTATACATTGTGGAATGATCAAATCAGTTTACTTAACCTCAAATATTATATCTATTACCTTAAATATTTACTTCTCTGTGATAAGAATATTAAAAATTCTCTCTTTTAGCTATCTTAAAATATACAATACATTATTATTGACTGTAGTCACCATGCTGTGCAATAGATTGCCAGAACTTATTCCTCCTGTCTAACTGAACCATACCCTTTGACCAAGGCCTCCCATTCCCCATCTATACCCTGCCCACCAACTTTCTAGATACCTCTATTCTACCCTCTACTTTTATGAGTTAGGCTTTTTAAGATTCCATTTATAAATGAGATCCTATGGTATTTGTCACTCTGAGCATGGCTTATTTCACTTAGCATAATGTTCTCTAGGCTCAACTTCATTAATTTGTATGTATCTTCAAGAAAGAGAGCTAGTTAAGGTACTATGTTAGTCCCATAGCTGCAAAACTGCAATGCAAAAACTTCTCTGTAGTGGAAAAGATCTTGGCTACAAAGCCTTTTCCATATCATGCAAATACCCTTTTAATTGTGGTATTCCTGTCTTCCTCTAGATTATTTTGAATGAGCTTAGATTAGCCAGCTGGGTCTTTATGCTGGTTGTGTTAGACAAATGCCTCTTTAAAGAGGAGAGTGCTATTCAGTTACATAAACTCAAATCCAGCAATCTCTTCTTTGCCATTAATTCTATTCCCAGCAAGAATGGGAAATAGCAGGAAAATGTGTAGGCCATTCTATATATCCTAATTCTCTCTCTCTTTTTTTTTTTTTTTGAGACAGAGTCTCATTCTATCACCCAGGGGAGTGTAGTGGCACAATCTCAGCTCACTGCAACCTCCACCTCCCAGGTTAAAGCTATTCTCCTGCCTCAGCCTCCAAGCAGCTGGGACTATGGCACATGCCATCATGGCTGGCTAATTTTTGTATTTTTAGTAGAGATGGGGTTTCACCATGTTGGCCAGGCTGGTCTTGAACTCTTGACCTCAACTGATCCGCCTGTCTTGGCCTCCCAAAGTGCGGGGATCACAGACATGAGCCACCGCACCTGGCCTATATCCTAATTCTCAAGAGGGCATTTGGCTCGTGGGAGAATAGACTTAAATGTTCTTGAATAAATGAAATAATTCCTAAGTTAATGAAGGGAGAATGGATAATAATTTGTCTTATCCCCTTTTTTTGCTGCTATAAGAAAATGCCACAGACTAGGTAATTTATAAAGAACAGAAATGTATTTCTTATCATTCTGGTGGCTGGGAAGTCCAAGATCAAGGTGTCCCAAGCAATAGTGTCTGCTGAGGTCTGCTTTCTGCTTCCAAGATGACAACTTGTTGCTGTGTCCTCAAACGATGAAAGGTGGAAGGACAAGAGACAACCCCCTTCAACCTCAATCCCAGTTTTAAGGGTGCTAATCCCATTAATGAGTGTTCCACCAAAGGCATCCCAAACTCTGCATTTCTTAATACTGCTGCATTGGGGATGAAGTTTCAACATTAATTTTGAAAAACTATCATAATTCAAACCATAGCATTATCCTTGAATTCTTTTAGAATGAGTCAAATGATTAAGTTTTCTTTTAAATAAGGAAATATTGTATAATGGGAAAATGTCATTTGAAAATGTAAATTTAATTTTCACCTGTTTTGCTTTCTTGCATTTCTGAATTCATATTGGGAAAAACCTACAGTTGATAAACACTGAATAAGTTTTCACTTAAGGAGCAAAGGGATAATAGTTTAGAATTTTCTCCTTATATGTAGCTCAGAAATGTCTAAGTTCATGTTTGTGTAATAAATTACAAGTGTGAAAAGTGACAAGTAATTCAACCTTGATAATTCACTTTCTTCATTGTCTTTTAATCCTAAAGTTGCTTTCCCTTAAACTAAGTTTTCTTAGCCTGTCTCGGAAGCGAAGCATCTGGAACCCAAATCTTATGATCCCTATTAAGCAAAGTGGCACTGAGATAATGGAAAGAAGGGAAAGATAATTAGACTAAACCCGGGTCAATATGCCAGTTTTTTTTTTTTCCAAAGTCTCAGTGACTGTGGCCAAGAGTCTTGAGACATGTCACCTTATTTATATCGGGAAAGATTGTGAAAGGCTTTAAAATGGTCAAGCAGATTATTGTGAGTCCTTTTAATGGAATACTAGACATTGTCTGGGGCACTCTTTTGAGTTACCTGCTTCTGCAGGGCTCTGTTCCTTTCACAGTTTTTAACTGAATTATTTTACAACTCTGTACATTTTGGACAATTGATAGTAATACAATTTATTATTGTCCATTTAAGCAAAGCTGAATTTTGTCCAGTGGAGATGCAATTCATTCTCTGCCTTACCTCTGTGGAAAGGCTCAGTTTTGTATACATTAGTAAATTGACATCAGTCTTTCTAATTGCCCATATGTAACTGTTATCTGAATTCTCCTTTTAAACAGGTTCAGTTTTTACATCTTACTGATTATAAACTAAATAAAATCACTGAGAAATTTGGCTCTTATATTTGTATGAGAGTCAAGATTTTATCTTTTCTACAAAATATATTTTTATAATCTTCTCTTCAAAATAAAACTTAAAGATTCAATTTGTTTTAATAGTTTCCTGATTTTTGGGGGGGACATATGTGTCTCTCTAAGCCTTGAAAACAGACATTATTGACTTCCTTTAAATAGTGAATATTTCAGAAGGTTGTTGAAATATCCCTTAAAAAAGACAGAATGTGGTCTGTTTAAGCCTCTTTGTTTATACACTGAATGCAGTAATAATACTTTATTATTATGGTGAAAATGATTTTCCCTTCACGGTTATATTTTAGTGTCTTCAGAGCCTACTCATCTGACTGTATGACTGTTAGAAGGACAGGGACAATATACAATTTTCATGCTTTGTTCTGAATTACCTTATCCATAAAAGCAAAATAATATAGATTGCAAAGTTGAGCTACGGCCTCGTTTTTCTTTCTCTTTTAAGAATCCACCTCTTTTCAGAAGTACCTTGCCCGTATATGTTAGATACCTCACGTGTCTCATTTCCTGGAACTGTCCTTCAGAAATAAATCCCATGTATCAGATTTTAATATTGGGTGTATTCGCCTCTCAAACGTTTCCCTATATCATTGCTTTTCAGTCTGCTTTCATGTTGTAAATATTTTTGTTATACTGGTCCCCTTAGAATCAAATGACCATGAATATAGCCTCATGTTATCAATTTTGGAGGCCTATAAATTTTCACTGATATTCCCAGAAACTTAAATGAAGTTCTAATGGTGGAATTTCAGGCAAATTGCCAGACTGACATTAGAGAAACAGTTCTCAGTATGCTTTCCAAATTATACCACATAGATGTTGTCTTATTCTATTTGTTTCTAATATTCTTCCTGTCTTAAATCACATTCTAGTGCTGATGACTAAATCAAATTATGTAACTATAGCCTTAATCAGGACAGTTAAAGAGAACCGGAAAAAGAAGAGATTAAAAATAACTTTTACTTTATTTATTTATTATTTGTTTATTTTTAAATTTGTCTCTCTGCTTTAAAATAGTGAATTCTAGTAGAGATGATTTGCTTTACTTTTTTGGGCACCCATACAATACTACAAAAATTTACACTGAATTTCTATAAGGTGCTCCTTTCTAAAAGTATTAAATTTATTTTAAAAATTCTGGTAGTTTCTCCTATATTTTCAGGTGGTGTGCTGGACCTAGGAGCTTGTGTGTGTGCCCATGGGGCACATACACACCTCTGTGTGAGTCTGTTTGTACATGTAGTTGTAAACCCACCAATAGACACAGTGGACAGGCCAAAGCGTGGAGTAGAGAGGGAATAAAAGGCATGGCTGTGTGAGGTCACAGGCCCTTGGGCTCCTATGGATTCACTGAAAAAAAATCATTGCTATGAGGCAGCTTAATAGGAAAAAAGGCATATAATGTATTTAACATGTATTCACGGGAGGCTTCAGGAGGAAGACCCAACCTGACAATAAGATACAGAAGCTTATATACCATCCTAAAGCCACAGAAACAGTGCAGACTTAGAGCATGGCCAGAAACAGTCTACGTTGGTAAATCAGGTTTAGTGGCAAGACAGGTTATGAGAGAAAGGAAGAGGCCTGGGTAGCCAAGGTGGCCTTGTTATGCAGATGAAACCTCATAGGTTAGCAGTCCTCAAAAAGAATAGATGGTAACTGTTTCTTTTCAGACCTTTAAATGTGTCCAAATCCCAATCTCTCCTAGATCCCAGGGAAATGCCTAGAAAGAGGAGGCAGGGCTGCATTAATGAAGGCTCTCTACAGACGCAAACTTCTCCCTTCTCTGTCTGTTGGCTCTGGGGCAGCCATTTAAAAATATTCAAAAACCATATTTTAGGGTAAAATAGTTTTATTTCATTGAGCTTCTTTGTCAAAATAAATTAGCCACTCTGTTTCATTGATTTTGAAATCAATGCATTTGATGAGCATCCCCTAGGAATGTGGAGAGAGGACAGCGGCTGCTCATTACCTTATCTCTTTACCCTCCTACCCGCTCACCCCAGCTAGTCCACGAGGCTGCTGGCAGTGTCAGGCCAGTGTGCACCCTTGCTGAGTGCTCTCCTGAAAAATAGGAAAAATGTCACCAAGGAAATGTACCTGTAGAAAGCAGCACAATACAAATTTTAGTTATTCTATAACTAAATTGGATTGAGTAGTGTATGCTGCTTATCCCCACTTTAGAGGAGCAATTGGGTCAATTATTAGATTCAGGACCATGAAAAGAAAATAAATTTAAAACTTTTAGAAAGGAGAATGTTGTAGAACTTCGGTGCAAATTTTTAAACACATATGAATGTTAGGTTTTCTTATGGGTATTGAGATTATAAGAGCAAATACGAATTGCAAAGAAGAGTCTTAAATCTCTATTGAAAATAAGAGAAGAGACTCCTCACCTCCTCCCTTTTCCTTGAACATTTACTTTAGAAAACTTGTAATTGTAAGGGCTTTCCCTGTCCCTTTGAAATGTATGTAAATCTTTTTACAAGCTGAATAAGCTTCTTATCAGCTTTTATACCTTCCTCAAGATCTGGGAACCATGCCTTCGAAATGTATACATCAAGAGAGACAGCATCCTTATCTTCCAGTTTCTGTGAGAATGTAGGAGCCTAACTTAGGCAAGTTAGTCCAAGTTTCAAAACTGCCTCATCATAAAGCATGTGATGTTTAATTTTTCACTGGATAAAGCCAATTAGCAAGCATAGGTTGTCTCCCCAATCACCAAATAAATTTAGGATGAGCCATGAGTGACATATTGGGCTGTTATGTCCTCTTACTTGAAGACTAGTTATTGTTTATGTTGAGAACCTTCCTGTAATGGTTATATCTGCTTTACAATACAAAAGGATAAGCTTTCTTTCGGCCTTTGCTGTCTGCTAGAGGATTGCCTAGGATGCACATCATATTCTTGTTGAATGTTTTTTCTTTTTCTTTCTTTCTTTTTTTTTTGAGATGGAGTTTTGCTCTTGTTGCCCAGGCTGGAGTGCAATGGCGCAATCTTGGCTCACTGCAACCTCCGCCTCCTGGGTTCATGCCATTCTTCTGTCCCAGCCTCCTGAGTAGCTGGGATTACAGGCACATGCCACCACACCCAGCTAATTTTTGTATTTTAATAGAGATGGGATTTCATCATATTGGTCAGGCTGATTTCAAACTCCTGGCCTCAGGCTCGGCTGGTCTTGAACTCCTGACCTCAAGTGATCCACCTGTCTTGGCCTCCCAAAGTGCTGGGATTACAGGCGTGAGCCACCGCGCCTAGCCAAATGTTTTTTCAATAATATTTTGTTTTGTCTTCTACTCTTATGAAGAGGTTTTCTGGATTGGGAGGTGATTTTGTTTTTAATTATATTTCCCTAATGTTGTTTTGGGTAAAAGCTTTTAAAGTGTATGCTAATAATAGGTAATATTTATTTAGCAGTTAGCAACGTTTGGTTCTACATTTTTTTGTGGGCAATGTTTATAAGGTCATCAGCCAATAAGTTCTTAAACCAGGATTTGAACCAAAGCAGAATGGATCTCTGGCACACATGTTTCACAAGTAGCTGTACTACAGAAAGCATGGGTGAGTTCCAGTTCACCATTTATTGTTGAACCCATCAAAGTTAATATAAAAATAAAAATAAAATGACAAGTTTTAACGACAGTTCAATCCCAAATTAAAAAGACTAAAGAAACATTAAATCCACTGCATTTTTGTTGATTTACATAATAATAATATTTATTTATAATCAGCAGAATTCTCATCAAGATGGTGTATACTGTATTAGGTTATTTATGCATAATGTAGTGGTTGGAATTTCCACTTGTCTTAATAAGTTTGAAAGACAGTCTTTTTCCAAGTGAATTACTTTAATTTGTTGGCAGGCAAGTTGGGGCTGCAGGTAACTTCTAATTCTCTCACGCTTCATATATATATATATATATATATATATATATATACGTATATATGTATATATACACATATATGTGTATCTCATATATATATGAGATACATGTATATATATATATATATGTATCTCAACGCTTATATTGGTAAGGAAATTATGAAAGCATTGAGAAAATCCCCCTGTTACCTTCAGTTGATTGTAAATTTTACTAATCTAATTCTCTGCTGGGCTCCTAAAATCTTTTAGATTTTATTTTCCTTTTTAGTATGCCTGTAATAGCCTATAATTTTTAAGAAAAGTTTTTCTTATCTCCAATTCTAAACACGCATCTACCTCTACAAATATTTTCTAAAATATTATTCTATTCCTTTTCATTTCCAGGAATAATAACTCTAGCACAATATATCATTATTTAGAGTCAATTCTCATTATTTGAGGTAATCATCTTCTACAAAGTCCCCACAAATACCAAATTAGCAAATATTTATTGAACAAATATTTTATATATATATATAGTTAATTCATTAACATATATATATATATATATATATATATATATATATATATATATATATATATAGTTAATTCATTAACATAAACTCATGGCCAAAAGCACTATACCTCATGCCTAAATGAAGCTGTTCTAATACATGCATATTCGCCCTAAGGAACATCACAGCCTTCTTGCTTTTAGGGACACTAGACAATACTTCAGCACTATGCTTGGGGGCCATTTTAAATAAGAAAATCACCAGGAAAAAGCACAAAAATATAAAACATATAGCAATAAATGGACTATGAAAAGGACACTTGTTTACAGAATGGGAGTTGAAAAAAGAAGGCAGAGAGTCAGCTTGCTCAACCTCATCTGGGAACATGTGCCTTGGATGACTCATATTTTTATCTGCTGTGAGCCTGTTGTGAAAGCATTGTGAGTACTGACTTTGGTCAACAAGTACATGTTAGCAAGTAGATGAATTAAAAAATACAGCATCTGTGAGTAACTAGGACAGACTGTATTTGTTTATTTATTGATTTGTAATTTGTTTACTCTACTGCACTGTAAATTCCACTAGGGCAAAGAATATGAATGTTTTCCACTAAAACATTATTAGAACTGATGCTGAATAAAATATTAAAGACGCAGCTATGTTTGGCCTTGATAGTTAGCCAAATTCTGAAATTTGACTTCAGTTTTGGCCTCAGACTTAGGAAGACTGAATTACTGAATGACTGTTTCAACAATGGTTCTGAAATTTTTAGTCTCACCAGTGATAAATGATGATGAAATCAGGTTGTTTAGCATCAAACTTAATCAGCATAGCCTTTTCAGTAATGTGAGCAGAGTATGTCTTTGAGATTTATTGTTAATCTGATTATTCACTTTAAACATAGGCAAGTATGCAATATATATTGGAGCAAAAATCTCCTTATGTCCTTTACATATTGAAATTCTATCTTTGTTAAAGTAAACTGTATAGTTATTATTGCAATAGTACAATCCTGCAATAATTAATGATACTTATAAAAGTTGTGCACTTTATATTCACAGTAATTATTAACTTTCAAACAGTTACATAGATCCTCAGTATGAGTATCAAAAGAAAGTCATACTGAATAACTTTATGAAAAATCTGCTAAATAACTTTATGAAAACTATCCTTTCAAAATAACAACATTTTTATATATTTAAATAATATAGACAGAAAATTAAGTGATCAATTTGTTTAGTTGCATACTATACTAGTATTTTAATAATAAACACATGATATTTAAGAACTGCACTTACTTTTTAATTCCTTGATTCAATTTAAGTCGTGTGTCATGAGTCTTGGGCATGAGTATAGAGAAGTAATCACTTCATTAAGGATATTATATGTTCTTCTAAGGGGCTTGGATTTTATTCTGAAGGGAATAAAGAGTCTGTGAAGCATTTAAAGAAAGGGATGTTGTGAACAGATCCAAATTTTACATTGATCACTTTGCTTTATGTAAAGGACAAATTTAATTTGACTGAGGAAAGATTCTGGGGTACCAATTATTAAATTATGCAATTACCAGTTAAAACATGATGGAAATGGTTATTCTGGGGAAATGTTTTGGAGATAAAATTAACATGTCTTAGTCTTTTATTTCATTTAAAATAAAGGAATAAATCAAAGATGATTTCATATTCTGACTTGTGTGACAAAGTGTATGATAATTTTATTCATTGAGATTAGATTAAAATCAGAAAAACCTAGTTTAGAGCAATTTGAAGTTTCCAGTTTTGAGCTTATTAATTATGAGGTATTAGTGGAAAGCCAATGAATATGTTTAGGAGTGTTATTTATGAATGTAGAACTTAAAAAGTGTTCAGAATATAGACAGAAATATAGATTGGAGAGTTGCCAACCTATAATTATTTAAATAATTAAAGTGAATTAAACAAATAATAACAAACATAAACAACAGTTGGGTAAGGTCATCCTGCCATCTAAGACATAAGCAGAAAGCATGTATAAAAGTGATTGAATTAAAACATCCTTCAGAGAAACATAAGAATGATGAGCATATGGTATCATGAATGTTGTTAGAGAGAGCAGAGAGTCTGAAGCATCGGAAAGAGCCAGAAAGTAACCATAGACGGTTTCATTGGATTGAGCAATAAGACAGGAACTGGAAATTTTGGACAGAATTGTTTCCACCAATGGTTAGGGGTAGGGATAAAGACAAAACTTCAGTGAAGTAAGGAGTGGGAAATCCAAAAGTCGATATCCCAAATATACCATTCTTATTCAGTATGTTTGCCTAAGAAAAATGGAAAGAGTTCCTAATCTTTGAATTTTTCTCTGATGTTTCTAGTATTGTTTTTTTCTTTTTCTTTCGTCTGTCACCAGTCTATTCCGGTTTCCCATTACCTCTAGCCTCAGCTACTCTAGTAAACTGTTAATTGGTTTCTCAAATTCTAGTTCTCACCTTAGCACTGAACCTACTGCTTTAGATTAATGTTTCTAAAATGTTGCCTTCATCATGTGATCTGCTTAAAAATATTCAGCATCTCCTCATTTTCCATGGAATTCAGGTCAGTCTTTTTAGTATCCCATTGAGGATCTTTAAAAATTTGATCCTAGACTACTTTTCCAGAATTATCTTCAGTAGTGTTCTGTATGTAACTTTTGGCCCAACAAAATTCATTTCTTTGCTCTATGTTCTGCAGACACATTCAGCCTTTATCTTTCTGCCTTTGCTTATACTAACTCAATTTTATGTCTCAAAATTTTACACAGTCTCCAAATATTAATTATTTCATACAGTCTTTCCTGATTTCCACTTTTGGGTTCATTTGGAAACTGATTTATAGCTTTTATAGGGCACTTACCATTTAATCTCTTATAGTATGTTGTTGGCTCCTTGGAGACAGAGAGCTATGTCTGTATACACACACATGCACACACATACACATATGTAGATCTGTATCTGAGCTATATTAGAGTCTTCTTTGTGTTCCCTACAGGGCCTAAATAGTGTTCCTTGGAGAGAAAATTACCCTGGGAATGAATAAACAAGAGCAATGCAAATGGTAAGAAGGGGAAGGGTGGTCTTTATCTTTCTAACTCAACAAAAATCCCTGTAGATTAAAGTTGTTATGAAGACAATATCCTAATCATTCAAGACACCTGTATGAAGGTTATGTTTCCTGAAATTTTCTTATATTGTTACATTGGATGATGATACTGTTAGACATATTTGTGTAAACACTTATGTTGGCCTGGAAGAAAAATAGAAGTTCACCCATTATTATTGCCTCTCCCTTTGAAGTGGCATAACCAGGCCTGTCTGTACCGCCATGGCAAAAGCAACATGCAACCCCCACTTCTGGGCTCTTCTTGGCCCTTTGCACCCACTAGATATACCCATGTTTTGGTGGTAACTTGTCCGCCTTTCTTCTGGTAACAGCAACACATATTTTTCTATGGAAACCCATTCTTTCCCACTCTTACTCTATATGGCTCTGGCTTGGCTAATGACAACCCACTCTCCCCAACTCGAAAATAAGCATGTGACCCAGACTTTGCTAACTAAAGCATCACAGCTTGTCAGCAAATGCATGACCCAGACAATCTCAGAACTTTAGTTGAAAAAATATACACCTGAAAAGCTAAATTTTCTAAAGTTACAGAGTATGTGTTTGAAGTTATTTTGTTCTTATCCCATTGTGGGGAGATTTGTCTTAGAAAAAAGGTGTTACAGAGGAAATCAGAGCAGACTTGAAGACAGATTGCCTAATGACATCTGAGCACCTGGATTGTGCTTTAACTGTATCTAAATGTGAGACACTAATTTATCTTTTGTGTTAGTTTCTTTTACATTAGATTCTTGCAGCCCTGGAAATCCTAAATAATAATCATGGCAATACTACATTTATAAGACTAAAAGATAGGAACTCAAGAAAAATTTGGTCATAGCAGTTGGTGAAAAAGTGAATTTAAGAGAAGTGACAAAAAGAACTACTTGGGGTAAGACCTATGAAGTATCTTAATAATTTTCTTTAAAATGTACAATAGTAGTTACTTTAAAAGAGAGAGGAATACCAAGGAGACTAGAATAATACAGAAAACCACAGGGCTCTCTGTAATTCTGTATCTCCATGCAAGGGCCTGCATTGTTTATCACAGTATCTACAGTTCCTATCAAACAGGGTAAATGTTTGATGAACGAATACCCTAATCTAAGAGGCCTGGGCATACTGCCAACTACCTAGAAAATTCAGAGGGAAGAAGAAAATTGTTATAGAGAAACAGAGCTCAAGAAATATTAACATCATATTTTCCTGAGAGAGAGAGAGTAAGCACAAATGTATCCCACTGCACCATGTGGTATAAGCTCAGGGGGTTACATAAAGGAAAGGAATCTGGTGTTTCAGGGTGTTAGTTTGTTCTGTGCAATGTTTTTAAAGTAAACTCTAGAGTAATTTTGTGATTTAAGAAGAAACTATTAGAATCTTAGGATGGTGAGAAAAGATAGATAAACATGTACTTATTAAGGGAAATAGTGAGTTTAATTTGGCCAATTAGTTATTTCATTGCATTCATTGGAGAATTCAATCTAATGAAGAATATGCCTAGGAAAATAATAAGATAAGAGTCTATACTGGGTTCAATAAAAATCTGGGGACTTAGATGAAGAGAGACTTTATTCAAAGACTACTGCAGTAGGAAGAGCTCTCTGATCTCAGAAATCTGCAAGTGCCTCAAAATCAAACACAAAGGCTTACTTAAAAAAAATAGGGAAGAGTGAGCAAGGATAACAGAAATTTTAAGGTGACACCTGGCAAGTGAGAAAAGGTGAGTACACAGCATGATGGGTCCAGACTGACAGTAAAGGTGTCCTCTCTGTGGTCAGCAGTTCTTCAGATGAGCTGTTTAGGGGACATGGCATTCAAGAATCAAAAGAGAATCAGCAAATAATTAATAAGAGGAAATTGATGCTCCAGCAAACCCTCTGAATATATTGCTCTGCCAGTGTAAAGAGCACTCTGAATTTGTGTGTCTTGACCCCATGCTATGATTGAATAATAGTATCCTAACAATAATAATATAAAATAATAATCAGAACCAACAAATATTGAAAACTGTATGTCAGGCACATTATAAGTCCTTTACCTGTGTAATTTAATCTTACAGTCATCAAATGAGGTATTCTTTTTTCTCAATTTTACAAAACAGGGAACTGAGAAACAGGTTAAATATTGGACAAACGCCATACTTTACCCATAACTAGTATTAGATGTCAAGAAAAGGAGAACAGATATAGATAGATATTTTTGGGAGATATTTTGCTGAGGGTATGGTAAAGCCTGAAAAAATGTTTCTAATCTACTGCAGAAAATCCTCTCTGATGACCAAATATTTCATATCCCCAGATTCAGCATCTAGTCCAGGTTCATTGCTGGGCATTATTAAGAAAAAAATATCAAAATTGGAATTAATGGATAATATGGTTTGGCTCCATTTCCCCACCCAAATCTCACGTTGAATTATAATCCTGAATGTTGGAGAGGTGATTGGATCATGAGGACAGACATCCCCCTTGCTGTTCTTTTGATAATGACTGAGTTCTCACAAGATCTGGTTTTTAAAATTGTGTGGCACGTCCCCCTTTATTCTTTCTTGCCCCTGCTGGCCATGTGATGACATGCTTGCTTCTCCTTTGCCTTTCGCCCTGATTGTAAATTTTCCAAGGCCTCCCCAGCCATGCCTCCTGTACAGCCTGTGGAACTGTGAGTCAATTAAATATCTTTTCTTCATAAATTACCCAGTCTCAGGCAGTTCTTTATAGCAGTGTGAAAATAGACTAATATAAGGACAAAAATGACTTCAGATTTAAAAAATGTACTAAAACATGTAAAATATCCATACAGGAATTATTAAATTCTAGGGAGGTGTCTGTGTACCTTTGTTTGACTTATTTCCTATTGATAAAAATGCTCTGTGAAGCTATATGTTAACTTGTAGATTTTTGTTCAGTTCAGATAAAACTGATTTTTGTGCGGTAGAAAAGATAACCTAGGAGATTACAGTTTTATTGTCCTAAATGATATTACAAGTTTTGTAACAACTTTGCAATAATATTTTAACATTAACTTTTTAATTGGAAATAAATATTCACTGTCTCAAATTCTTCTTTGTACCAGGATACTATCTCACTTGAAAATTATACTTTCAGCATATGTTGACTGCATTTACTTATTTTGACTTCCCTTTTTAAACATGTCACTTTCTTTAGGGCATACTTTTTTTTTTTTTTTTTTTTTTTTTTTGAGACAGAGTCTTTCTCTGTCACCCAGGCTGGAGTGTAGTGGCATGATCTCAGCTCGGTGCAACCTCTGCTTCCCAGGTTCAAGGGATTCTTCTGCCTCAGCCTCCCAAGTAGCTGGGACTACAGGCATGCACAATCATGCCCGGCTAATGTTTGTAATTTTAGTAGAGAACAGGCACGCACAACCATGTCCGGCTAATGTTTATATTTTTAGTAGACATGGGATTTCACTATTTTGGCTAGGCTGGTCTTGAACTCCTAACCTCAAGTCATCCACCTGTCTTGGCCTCCAAAAGTGCTGGGATTACAGGCATGAGCCACCACACCTGGCCAGGGTATACCTTTTTTTAGATGAATTAATATCTATGACTACGATACAGCTGAACTTATAGGCTAGGAGATATCCTTTAACTTTACTCAGGATATTTACTTAATTAGTTTAATTCATAGGACTTTATTTCTCTCCCTCAAGTTAAAATCTCTATCCTTTCTAAAATTAGGATATGAATATGAAACATTTATAAATGAATTTCAACAAGCTATTTAGAAATTATAGTGTAGTAGTCTTGAACTGGGGCCGAGGAAGCTGCATTTTAGTAAGCACGAGGTGTCTTACACTTATTGTGGCAACTCAAAAGTCCTGCTTGTCCGTCGACCTGGTCTGAATTGTTGCTGTTTCTTATTTAATGATATCCAGAGTAGTTATCTTGTCAGTGCAACTGAAGTAGTAACTGTTTCATTGGATCAATGGGTCTCCTTGTGAGTAGCCTCACGCTTATAGAGGCCAGTATTTAAACCACGTCATTGAATATGAAAAAATTGCTGTCTATCTGGTAATCTTGGGTTTGGTTTGGATCTACACTGGGCAAGGGGTATGAATAGAGATGTGGTTTTTGTAGCAGATTGACTGTTAATGTCTGAATGTTCAATCCATGTGGGAGGCTACAGTATCAATACACAGATAAAATGCAGGTTTAGTCTCAGCTGATTGTATCAGACTATAAGGACCAGGATCAGGCAATGATTTCACGCAGTGCCACAACCAGCAAGATATTCTTGCCTCTCATCCCAGGGAATGACTGCTCGCATCTCTTCTGGATTTAAGCAGTTCTTTAGGTTTGAATGACTAGGGCTAATAAGTTCCTGTTTCTCTACAGAGCAAGGCAGAATTTTCTGTGTAAAGAGAATTGCCCTGGAAGTCTAGTTCCTCTGGAATGTTCTCATGGTTAAAGTCAAACATTTATTACATTCTTCTAACATTACTAGTTTTTACTGTTGCCCCATAGCATTATTTTGAAAAAGTTAATTCTTAACAGGAATTTATGACTTCATTTTCCATAAGTGAAAACAAAAATACCTTGTCAGCCATTATTTAATACAATTTCCCAGCTTTTCTTATTTGGTTCTTTTTAGAATTAAAAAAAAAAGCCTTATCTCTGAAAATACGGCCCTAATATTTATAGAAAACATGATATGGAAATTGTTACTAGCTTGGACATAAAGCAGTAGAATAAAAACTATTCATTTAAAAGATAATCATTTCTTTTCTTTTCTTTTTTTTTTTTTTTTTTTTTGAGATGGAGTCTCGCTCTGTCACCTAGGCTGGTAGGCTGGAGTGGAGTAAAAGTGGCACGATCTCAGTTTGCTGCAACCTCTGCCTCCTGGGTTCAAGCTATTCTCCCTGCCTCAGCCTCCTGAGTAGCTGGGATTACAGGCACCCGCCACCATGCCTAGCTAATTTTTGTATTTTTAGTAGAGATGGGGTTTTACCATGTTGGCCAGGCTGGTCTCAAACTCCTGGCCTCAAGTGATCCACCCACCTCGGCCTCCCAAAGTGCTGGGATTACAGGTGTGAGCCACCGTCCCTGGCCATCATTAATTTTTGTACAAGTGTAGAAAAATATAACAGAGGACTGAGAGCTATAAAACCTAGACATTGAATTGAATAAGTGCTAAATTTTCTTTGAGGGCAATTTTTACTAATTTACAATTCCAAACTTTTCCAAACTTCCAAAACTTTTCTCTTTATGTACTCAGTAATTTGTTAGCAGGCTGTATTTTTCACTTTTATGTATACCTTACCAAATGAGGTCCAGAGACAATATGTATCTTTCCATTTTATTTTTATAATATCCATACTGACTAAATAGTCCAATCAGGAAAAACAACAGACCTAACTTTTAGCTACTATTTTTTTCCCATTTAATTTATGTTTGTCTTGCAGAACAAATCCAAAATTTCCCTTTCTTTCTTTCTTTTTTTGCTTTCTTTACTATTTGAGTCATTACACTCTTGAATTGACTTATTTTGTCTCTGTGTATATTATACCCTAACTGTTTATTTTTTAGTAATAGTCAAATGGTTGAAAACTGAAAAAATAAAGGAGGAGGATAACTTATGCCAATCACTGGTACCTCAGTAGAGCTCACCCCCTACTATTCTGCCTTTGCATCAAATAGACAAATTATTCACTTGGCTGGTTCTGCTAGTATCCATGAATCTGAATTTTCTTCAGAATTTTGGCTTATGCTGGGCGTGAGATCATTATACATTTTAACTGCTTATTATGTCCTCTTGTTTGTGGCAACCTGAGTGCACAAATGGTCTATTTGTTGAGGCTGAAAATAGAAATACCAGCAGGGAAGACAAATACTAGGACCTGAATAGGATCTCTGGGGATTTCTGACTAACACACTATCTCTGCCATGAAAGTATTCTGGAAGGGAATATCTAGTCTTTCTCTATGATTTTACATCAAGAGGCCAGGAATGAATCCTAACTATTAACCCATCAACAGGTATTTAGTAAGCACTGAATATTACTTATTTCATTCATTCAGCAACTGCTTACATACTAGGGCCTAAATGTGGCTGGATGGTTAAATCATAAGCTTTGGTGTCAAATTGCGTAGGTTGAAATCCTCTTTCTGCCACTTAGCATTTATAAAACTTGGGTGATTCACTTAAATTGCCTTGGTTCTTTAGAAACATCTCATGTGTCACAGAAACAAATTACATTTATAGTATCTAGCACGTGAAAGCACTCAACAAATGTGTGCTATTGTATTATGTGCAAAAGATCATGCCTAGGAAATGTGAGGGATCCAAAGTTCCTGCAGAAACTCTCCTATCTCTAGTAGTTTAGGGTTTAAAAAGGAAACAGACAAGAATAATACCTGTCATCTCAGCACTGCTGGTAGCTTTATCTTTTACTTCTTGTCCATCTTAAAGTCTGATCTGCTTTTTGTGGCATTCATCTTGCTTCTCACCACAAAACATTTCCAAAGTTATTGGTAATTAGTGTCATTTTTTAAAGTTTCCTTGAGGAGATGGAGAAGACATTCACATGGCACATGAAAAAGCCTCTAGTAAGCCATTTATCTTCTTTCTGAAGTTTTTCTTTTTAGCTACGTAAGTGCCAGGTCTTCACTTTCAATATTCTCTTCTACAGTGCCTATAAATTTCCTTTCTAATCAAGGAGAATCTGCTTTTGTGCCCTGTCTGCACACTCCACTGGGCAAAATAAAATTCCAAAAAATTAGCAAATATTATCTCTTTATCCAGATTAGGTAAGCAAGATAAAAAGTGCTGTAACAAGGAAAGAAATAACTGTGTGTGACTTCATAGATAGAAAAGTATATTTCTGACTGGAATGCTGAGGGCTTTTAGGGGAAATTCCATTGGACTGTGAAAATTGAGTATGATTTGGACATGTGGAAATGAATGGGTGGAGGATGGGAAATGAGAGAAGAGAGACAGGTATTTAAAATGGAAAGAACAAGAACAGTGTGGGAGCAGGGCAAAATGCTGTGGTTGTGATCTATCTATCTATATCTATATATCTATTATGTGCTTATTGCATATATAAGAACATAATATATGTGATATGAAGATATATATGAAACATAAGTGCTATGTATATATGTGCAGATATGTAAGCACATAATATATGTGATATAAGCATATTTAAGCACATATCACATGTATCGATAATATATGTGATATTATAATGTAATGCTTGACATTCTCTCTCTCTATATGTGTGTATATATGGACATATATACACATATATATGGACATATATACACACATATATATGGACATATATACACACATATATGGACATATATACACACATATATATGGACATATATACACACATATATATGGACATATATACACACATATATATGGACATATATACACACATATATATGGACATATATACACACATATATATGGACATATATATACACATATATATGGACATATATATACACATATATGTGGACATATATACACATATATATGGACACATATACACATATATATGGACATATATACACACATATATCTGGACATATATACACACATATATATGGACATATATACACACATATATATGGACATATATACATCCATATATGTATGTGTATATATATCCATATATATCCATATATATCCATGGATATATATATATCCATATATATCCATGGATATATATTCATCCATATATATCCATGGATATATATTCATCCATATATATCCATGGATATATATTTATCCATATATATCCATGGATATATATTTATCCATATATATCCATGGATATGTATAATCCATATATATCTATGGATATGTATATATCCATATATATCCATATATATATATCCATGGATATATATATATCCATATATATCCATGGATATATATATATCCATATATATCCATGGATATATATATATCCATATATATCCATATATATCTATCCATGGATATATATATATCCATATATATATATATCCATGGATATATATATATCCATATAGATATCCATGGATATATACATATCCATATATATATCCATATATATCCATGGATATATATATATTCATGGATATATATATATCCATATATATATATCCATATATATGGACATATATACATCCATATATATATGTGTGTATATATATCCATATATATGGACATATATATACATATATACATGGACATATATATACACACATATATATGGACATATATATGTCCATATATATGGACTTATATATATATACACACATATATATGGACATATATATACACACACACACACATATATATATATGCAGTTCAGCCAAGCATTACATTATTCAATATAAGCTAGCATTGCAGTAGAGAGATAAGACTTACTTAAAGAAAATAATTCAAGAATATTACAAGGCAGTGGGTGAATGCTTAGTGATATGGGACAGTGAGTTCAGAGGAGGGAGAGGTATGTGTGGATGTACTGATCTAGCTTTGAAGGGTGGTAAAAGTATGTAAGGGCCACAGCAGATCAATCTGAAAGGCAGTAGTTCAAAACACTTTCCTATGGAATGTTAATTTTCTAGGTTTTCCACAGAGAAAAGTATTTCCACGGCTATATTAATTTTCTAGGGTTGTTATAACAAAGTACCAAAAACTAGGATGGACTGAAACAACATAAATTTATTCTCTCAATCCTGTATGCTAGAAAGAAAACTGAATTCCCAGTGCTGACATGACCAGCCTCTCTCCAAAAGCTCTAGGAAAGAATCCTTGCCTTTCAGCTTCTAGTGGTTACCAGCAATTCTTGGCATTCCTTTGCTTGTGGAGTCATAACTCCAGTCTCTGCGTCTGTCTTCACATGACTCTCTGTCCTCTTGTGTGTAGCTGTGTCCAGCTTTCTCTCTTTTCTGTCCTTTTTAAATTTTATTTTCAGTTGAAACATCATAAAAGTACCATAATAGTCATACATATTTATGGGAACAAAGTGCTATTTTGATACATGTATACACAATGTTATGATTATATTAGGGTAATTAGCATGTCCATCCCCTCAAATGTTTATCATTTCTTTGTTTTGGGAACATTCAAAATCCTCTGTTCACTCAAGAGCGTGCTATAGAATTTACATGTATTTGTACAGTCTTGAAAGTTCCTCTTATTATGAATTTTTAGTTTTATTCCACTGTGGTCTGAAAAGATATCTGATTTTAAAAAATTTGTTGAAGTTTGTTTCATGGCTTAATGTATGACTTATTCTGAAGAAAGTTTCATCTGCTGAAGAGAAGATGTGTATTCTGTGGATGCTGGATAAAATGGTCTATAGATGTTGTTAGTTCCATTTGGTCAGTAGTGCAGCTTAAGTTTAATGTTTCAGGTTGATTTTTCATCTAGATGACCTGTTAAATGCTGAGAGTGGGTTGTTAAAGTCCTCAGCTATTATTGTATTGGCATCTGTATCTCTTTTTCTATCTAATAATAGTTGTTTTTTATATCTGTGTTACAGTGTCGGAGGCATATATATTTAGAAGTATTATATCCTCTTGCTGAATTGATCCCTTTATCATTATGTAATGACCTTCTTTGGCTCTTTTTACTGTTTTTGACTTTAAGTCTTTTTATTTTTGTCTTATACAAGTACAGCAACTCCTGCTTGCTTTTGGTTTTGATTTGCATGGAACATCTTTTTCATCTCCTCACTTTTAGTATGTGTGTGACTTTACAGGTGAAGTGAGTTTGTTGTAGGCAGCATATAGTTGGGTCTTGTTTTTTATTCATTAAGCCAGTACACATATTTTAATTGGAGAATTTAAACTGTTTACGTTGAAAATTATTATTTTATTCTCAGTAAATTATCAGTAAAATTGCTACTCTTATCATTTTGCTTGTTGTTTTCTGGTTGTATCGTATATCCTTTGTACCTTTCTTTCTCCCTTATTTATCTTTGTGGTTTGTTGGTTTTCTGCAGTGACGAGATTTGTTTCCCTTTTCTTTCTCATATATGTGTCTGCTGTCACTGAGTTTTATATTTTTGTGGGTTTTCATGATCTTAGTTATCATTCTTTCACTTCCATATGTAGGATTCTTGTAAGCATTTCTTTTATGGATGGTCTAGTGCTTTCAGATTCCTTCAATTATTGCTTATCTGAAGAAGGCTTTATTTCTTCATTTCTGAAGGATAGCATTGCTGAACATAATATTCTCGATAGAAGGATTTCTCTATTAGCACTTTAAATATATCGTGCCATTTTCTCTTGACCTATAAGGCTTCTGCTGAGAAAACTGTTGTTAGTCTTATGGAGACTACTTTATATATGACTTCATGCTTTTCTCTTGTTGTTTTTAGAATTCTCTCCCTGTCTTTGAATTCTGAAAATTTGACTATAATGTGCCTCAGAAAGGAGATTTTTGGGTTGAATTCATTTGAGGACCTTGATCTTCCTGGACTGTATGTCCATATATAAGACTTGGGAAGTTTTCAGCTATTACTTTAATAGGTTTTCTATGACTTTTTCTATCTCTTTTCCTTCTGAAATTCCCATAATGTGAACATTTGTTTGATAATGGTTTACTATAAGCCCTGTAGTCTTTCTGCATTTAATTTTTTTTTCTTTCTTAAGTTCATGACTGTTTTGACATGTGAAACTTCAGGACAGCATATGAGTAAACAGAAAGCCAGGGATTATCAGGGAAATACAGGCAATTGGCTGTGGGAAGATATTGTCTTCTACAGGGTATCAAAGGTTGGAATCTCTTATTATTACATCTCAAGGGGCAAGAAGATCACAGATGTCTGGATTTCAGAAAACGGAGCTAGAGAGGATTGGAGTTGATGATTTAAAAATATCTTTAGGAAATGACATTCTGGGGCTTCATCCTTTTGCCAGATTGGAACTAATTGCAGAATTACATTTAGGAATTTATTTAAGGTAGAATCATGGTGACTTGACTTTCTTAGTTCCATTTTTTCAATTTTCTGTAACCATAACTGTGGAATCACCATGGTAACTGCTGTACATGTTTGTCATTTTCAAAGAGCCGGGCTTATTTATCCCTGATTTGTATGAACAAGTGGTTAACTTTGGCCTCTGTCCTATTAATTATAAGAAAACACTGGTGGTTAATTGAAAATCACTATGATTTTGACAGTGTAAGTTATTGGTTAACATTAGGACTAGCCGGGTCCAGACATATTCATTTACAAAGTAGTAAAGTAGAGAGCCCTGTTTTTCATGTGACTGAAGACTAATTCAGATAAGATCATTGTTTGCTATTATAAATAAAACAGCAAATGTTTTCCACAGCAGTATTTTTTAATGAGACAATGCCAGGCACAAGGTAAATATTGTAGCTAGGTACTGATCCCAAGGCTTCTCTGAAGAGTGGTTAGGGCACGGTAAACCTCATGGAATTGACTATTCGCAGTGCAAATGAATTTATCACTAGAAATTAGAATGCATAAATTTGGAAGAGGAGTGTACCAGGGGAGTCATTTAGCCCAATTCGCTAAATTATAGAGAGGATAAAAGCTAAAACCCAGAGAGGATTATATAATTAGTGTGCATTTACTGAATACTTGTCTACACAAGGCAGTGTGCTAAGTGCTTTTTGATTTCATATTTATAGCAATTGTACAAGGCTGCTATAGCTATCCTAATTTTACAGAGGAAGTAACTTAGTTTTAAATATTCCATAGATTGCACAGCTCATAAGAGTTAAAGCATGAACTTAAGCCTGATTTGTCTTCCTCCAACTCTTCTTCACCTATTTTATATAAAATATTTTGCCCAAGGCCTAAACAAGTACATCCATCACTTCACTAATCATCTGATTTCCTTTTTCTTGTCTTGCTGCAATTTTTTTTGAAGATTGTTATGCTAAATTATTGATTCAGCACTAATCTACTGAATCACTCACTTTACAGATCAAATAAAACTAGATATAAAGAAAAACTATGTAACTATTTGGCCAGTAGCATGCATACTTCATTTCTAAAGAAAGGAAATACTAAATGCATGATGAACTTCTATGTTAGAGAGAAAAGTGTGAATGACTTGTCCCATGTGATGCTTCAATACTTATCAGATGCCATTTTAAAATAGATTCGTTTTCCTATGTTGCCAAGAATTGCAGCTGAACTAAGTAAATAAATGTCTACTCTCTAAAACTCTTTTTTTTTTGGCAGGTGCTGACCTAGCTATTGTTATTTCAGCTGCAATGTTTATGCTTTTATGTATAATGATCAACAGCAAAACAGTACATTCACAACTTTACCCGGAAACTTTTACCTGTTACTGGGTAAATATTTAATATTTATATCTAGAATAGTAATTGATGGTCCTTTTGTGCCTACAGAGTTGTAATCACTTCAGGGGTTCTGCTGACTTTATACATTGCAGGAATATTATATGAGTGCTTCATTATTAGCTTCAAAACCCTGAGGCTAAATTTTAAGCTCTAGAGTTTTCACTCAGTGAACGTGCTTTGTTTCCTCAAGTTAGAAGACAAGGTATCTTACAAGATACTTAGAAGTTGTCATCTACGTTGTTAGACGTTTGTAGAATAAGGACGATGTGATGATTAGTCTTATGTATCAACTTGGTTAGGCTAGAGTATGGGATTATTTAATAAAACACTAATCTCAGTGTTGCTGTGAGTATATTTTATAGATGTTAACATTTGCAATCAATTGACTTTAAGTTGACTATTCTTCATAATATGATGGGCATCAGACAATCAATGGAAGGCCTTAAGAGCAAAGACTGAGCTTTCCTGGAGAGGAAGGAATTCAGCTTCCAGACTTCATCATGAAATTTTGCCTGAGTTTCCAGGTTCCCGTCCTGCCATAAAATCTGCCCACAGATTTTAGTCTTGCCAGCCTCCACAATAATTGGAGCCAATTTCCTAAAACAAATCTTTTTCTAATTAAAATAAATTATGTATGTTATATAAAATTATATATAATTATATATGCTATATATAACAGGTTGTATATAATATATAAATAAATTATACATATATAAGTAAATTATACACACACACATATATATATAATTTATATAAATTTAGGGAACATAAATGTAGTTTTGTTACGTGGATATATTGCATAGTGGTGAAATCTGGGCTTTTAGTGTAACTATCACCCAAATAGTTTACATTATACCAATTAAGTAATTCCTTATTCCTCATTCCCCCTGACCATTCTACCCCTTTGAGGATATACTAGATTCATGTGTATACATTATTTAGTTCCTACTTAAAGTGAAAACATGTGGTATTTGACTTTCTGTTTCTGAGTTGTTTCACTTAAGATAATACCATCCATGTTGCTGTAAAAAACAAGATTTCATTCTTTATTTTGGCTGAATAGTATTCCATTGTATACATATGTATCACATTTTCTTTACCCAATCCACTGTGGGTGAACACTTAAGTTAGTCCCCTATCTTTGCTGTTGTGACTAATGTTGCAATAAACACATGAATGCAGATATCTTTTTGAAATATAGGACAAGTTCTAAAAAATATATGCTAAATTTCGGATTACTACAATTGTGAAGAGCATTATCTTTTAAGTGTTGTTAAGTGTTATTAGTCACAACTTTTGTGCTTGAAATGAAGGAAAATTTAAAAGTGAGAAATTATTGGTGCCTGCCACTGGGAAGTATAATGATGAAATTTGCCTTTAGGGGCCCATGAACCTAGGTGCATGCTGGGCCAGGACTCATTCCACGTACAGCTTTGTTTTTTCATGCTTGTTGCATCTACTTTATCACTGTGCAGGCCAGCTTCATCTATAGGGTGGGAAATGCTACATTGGGAATTCTTGAACAGGAAATCTCATTGCTTCCACCCTCACTGAGCACCCTTTTTCATTTCTACCTAGTAAAAACCTTGGCAAAAAGGTTCTAGATTGGTTCAACTTTAATCAGATACCATTCCAAGGACCCTTCAATGCTGCCAGAGGTGGACTACATTGTGAGAAGAATGGATCATAATAATGAAGGAGTAAGTCATAATTACAACAACTGACATGTATTCTATGAAGCATAATTAGCAGATACTAGTATGTGAGGAAGACATGATTGTAAAACTAAGAAAATAACATGACTTACATTTGTTTAATAAATCATGATCTATAACAGTAAGACCAAAATACAAACTGCCTATTCGATATTCTCATTTATAAAATAATCTTAAGGACAATACAGTATCATAATATCAGTCACACTCTTAAATATGTAAATCAGCTTGAGGATGAAATTTGACATCCTCCAAATAAATTAGCAATAATAATAATAATAAGAGCATATTTTTTTTTCAATTTTCACTGAGCAGCAAGGTGGGAAAAATTGCTTTTGACACTATACATATCAGTGATAAGGACTTTGGGCCGCGTGTAATAACGTAATGATATTTTATATCTACATAGAGCCTTTTATGTCAATAGCACAAATGAATCCTCACTGGCAGCATCATTTTCCCCAATTTTCAGAGCAGAGGAGCTATACAACTGCCTGGGAGAACAGATGGTTTTTATGACTTGATGTGGATAGTGGCTGCTTCAGTTTATTTGGAGGATAAATTCCTTTCAAACTTGTAGCCTGTCCTTATGACCCAGGTTGATCTTCTTGCTCCTGAAAATCTCATCATTAACATGCTGAAAAGGTATTGAGACTGCTTCTGGATCCCTCAGTGTTTACTTCTGGATAATTGAGTTATAAACATAGAAGTGTATGTATATGTGTGTGTATGGGCATGTAAATGTGTAATTCATGCATGTATGTATACAACAGCTTTATTGTGATATGCATATCACACAATTCACCTATTTAAAGTGTACAATTCAGTAATTTTTAGTATACTCACAGAGTTGTGCAACTAGCATATGTGGTTACTTTGGAAACTGCCTTCAATATTTGTTTCGGGTTCTGGAATATGATAATTGGATATAAATAGTAAAAGTGAAATGAACAACAGCGACAGCAACAACAGTGATTGTAGTTTGAATCTGTCTGGTGCTTTCAAATATATCACCTTACTTAAACATGCAACACTATACAAAGTAGGAATTAGTTTAATTTAAGATGAAAAACATTGGTACGAAAAGGCAAAATTGCATGTCTAAAGTTAAAATAATTGGCAGAGCCGAGATTTGATCTAATATCAGTGCAATGTAATAGTTCCTTATCCTGCTACATCAGTGATTGTATTCACTTTACGTGATATGATGATTCACTCTACAGAATTTATTGGTCTAATATTTCCATCACTGTAATGCTTTCTCACTTCATTTGTTACTGTGTGTCTTGTCCAATTAATCATTTAGTATTTATTTTGAATCATACCTACTCTGCTCCTGCTTCTACATGTTATTTAAAATGTCTTATTTTATTTAGATTTTATTTCTAAAGCAAACAACTCTGTCAGCAAACATCTCTTCACCTTTCCTGGGTAAAACTCTCTCAGAGGACAAGATTTTACCCAGGACAGGTGAAATGAGGCAGGGTGCGTAGATGAATAGGACCCATTTGGGGTAAAGCCCTGCAGTATTGGCAGTGGTTTGTGAGTTATGAGAGAGCAGACTTCATATACCTGGCGTGCCTGGTGAATTCCCTGAAAAGCAGGGAAGGGATGTGCTCAAGGCTTGTGCCGTCATCGCGTTGTTCTCACTATAGCACCATGACCACATCATCATGTGACATCACATTGCCCTCACACTAAGCCTGCAAATAAAAATGCATGAATGTTCTTTGACACCCATTCCTCTGTATCTATTTGGTATTATGGTCAATACTACTGTTTGGCTACTCTGTCTCTATCGTGCTCTATCTACTAAAACATGAACTCCTATAGCTTTCCTCACTCCCAACCTATAAGTATCTCTCTTTCTGGTTGTTGTGCATACACAGAATGTAGAGAAGCTCAGAAAAGGACAATGCTCTGCTACGCAGACTCAGATACAATGATGGACAGCTGATGTCCACAATAGTCTCAGGTCATGCCGATAGATAATAGTTTGAAAATAAAGTGATTGTTCATTTCATTGTTTTGATTTATCTTTATTCATGACATTTGATTAATTTTGAATTTAATATAATATTAAAGGCCTGTAAGAGACCTTATGTAATACATGAAAGGAAATCTAGAAAATTTTGAGAAACATTGGCCCTCTGATGACTCTGATGCTAAGGAACTAGACAGGGTGTGACTTTGTAGGATGTTGGGATGACAGGAAATGATTAACATTGGATTACCCTCATTTCTCTTTCTTCCTTCATTTTTTTTCCATTTGATCTTTTTACTCTTAAGTCATGGAAATAACACTAGATACTTCACAAAAATTATAATTTCACTTTTTTTGTTCAGTGAGATGTATTAACATTTGTTTGACAATTCTAAGACATGTATGAACAGGAACATATAGTCTTCAAGCTCAGCCCATGAATAACCTGAAAATTACATGTGTTTAAGCACATATAGGGGAGGCCCTGAGGTCTATGTCCATAAAGGTCAGGTCTACTCTTGTGAAGGTAAATCTTCAGGAAAAACATGATATATAAGCTTGATGCAAGAAGGACGAGCCAATGTAAAAGGGAAGCAACAATAATTTTTAATTCAACAGTGTGGGCTAAACAGATTATACTTCAGATTTGTCTATTCCCTAAAAAAAAAAACATTTTACAAAGCTATAAAGAAAAATATGTAAGCAAAACAATATCAATTTCACCCAAATATTTTAGATATATGGAGCACATGATAAGGCTGTTTGAGCAGAGTGCAGTGTGAGGGGGATATTCACACTTTGTGGGGGGTACTGCTGGAGTTCACACAAAGTAAAGAGAGATGGGCAGTGGAAGGAGAGCCCAGGGTAAAGAGCAGGGGACCAGATCATCAACAGGTCAGTTGCTTAGGAACCTGGGGGGCCAAAGAGTCAGCCTCTGGAGTAGAAGTAGCTCATGGTTGTACTAACAGCAGAGCACGACACATAAAGCATGAGAGAGAAGGAAAGAGAGGTAGAACTTTTCACACATTAGGAATGACCTCTCTATTCCTAGGGTTAAGGAAGTCATGCAGTAGTGTCAGCAGGCGTGGGAAGGGGTGGGGAGAAGATAATAGGAGGTGGGTCTATTGTAGCCCTCAATCAGTGACAGACAGACCACGCAAAGAATTTTTCTATTCGGAGAAATGGAGCAATAGAAGTTAAGAAAGCAGTTAGAAGTATTTATTTTTTATTCATTTAGACGAGAAAACTTACAGTATGTTGTTATTATATACGATAGGAATTACCCAATCAAGAGAGCAAACTTATTGATGCAGGAGAGCAAGGTCAGAGACAATGGGATCTAGAGCAGAAGGGTCAAGGTTGGTCTTCACTGGGAGCATCAACAGTTCTTCTATTGTAACAGGAAGGAAGGCAGAGCAATATGGACACTCATGTGAGAAGCCGTAGGAGACTTCTGAAATATGTCAAGGGGAGAGTTTCCACAATCCTGGGAGTGAGAGTCCAAACCTAGAGCATATACTTTGGTTACTGTCGTGAACCCTCATACATTTATTTATTCATTTAGTTGAAGAAAACTCCATGCTAGGCACTTTACTAGTTGCTGGTTACATAGCGGCGAACAAACTAGAGACTGGAATAACCTGGCAAAATGATTTTCACAGAACAGAACAGTCATGTCAAAAAATTCTGGTGTGTAAATAATTTTTATAACATAGGGTTTTATTGGAAAATTTAGTTAAATAGGTTTTATTTTGGCTAAAATTCCTAAATGATAAGCCAGCTATGACAAATAATTAAAAATGGGAATTATTAAAAAAAACTCAGGGATAAGGCAAGTATTTTTTATTACAGAGAGACATTATCATTTTTAATTTTATGCCTATTTTTTTTACACTATTAATATTTTAGATATCATCCCCTAAAAGAGAAGCATAATAAAGAAATACCTTTTGAAGGCTGTGCAAATACAAATTTAGGTGCCAGGATCCTTAACTGAACATGGTGTTGGGGGTGACGATCAAGGGTCTAACAGAAGAAAGCAGCACATTCATGGCTGTACACACACACACATTTAATTTCAGTCTCCCGTGCTACTGACCTTATTTTCTGTTGGTATGTCAGTTTTACCTGAGACATTGAATTAAAACCAACCAACCAAACCAAACAACCAAACAAAACCCCAACTACATAAGTACAAACTTCGAGTTCCCTTTTTTTGTCTTATATTAAGGATCCTTTTTAGAAGCATAATACAGCAATTATTTGTCAGACTGTTTCTTTTTCTTTTCTAACCATCTTTTCCCTTATAGCCACATATAAGACCACCAGGCCAGACAATAGGCACTTTTCCTGACTTGGGCATGAGTTCATGTGGGTGCACATATGGGTGTGACTGGAGAGCCTCATGCCGGTTGAGCTCTCCAGGAAATGGTCTTGGCATATCTCTATGGTTCTTACCACTTGTTGAACTTATAGAATTAAGAGTTACACTTAATTAAGTTGACCTTAGTTAAGTTCCTTCTGCCTTGCTAAGTAAGGAAGGCACAGATTTTTCTTCAGGTGAATGAGCATATGACAAATTTTCCTCTGAGGCAGACCAACTCTGAGATGAAGTCTGAAATCCCCAATTCTGTGTGTAAATTTCAATTTCTTCCCTGAAAATAAGTTTGACTTCTCCATGGTGGTGTTTTCACACCACCAATGGTTGGCTCACCAATGGTTTCTTGATTTTATGAGTACTTTTATTTTAATGGAATTTTATAAGGTTTGCATCTCATTGGCTTAATGCACTGGGTACTTTTAGTATGAAGTTCAATCTGTACAATATTCCTTCAGACTGTGATTAAATTTTGATCAAGGAAAGAGTTAAGGCCTTCACTGATAAATATAAGAGGTGGTGGAGCCAGGTAATTCTGACTCCAACTTTGCTGATAAAATTCAGAAATTGATTGTCAAGCATCTAGTATTAAATGTTATTATAAATGTGATGTCACTATTGCTTTGTTTCTCCTTAATGACACCAGCTTCATGTCACTATACAATGTTAAAAAAAAATGGTATGCTGGCCGGGTGTGGTGGCGCATGCCACCTCGCACTTTAAGAGGCCAAGGCGGGCAGATTACCTAAGGTCAGGAGTTTGAAACTAGCCTGGTCAACATGGTGAAACCCGGTCTCTACTAAAAATACAAAAATTAATGGGGCGTGGTGGTACGCACCTGAAATCCCAGCTACTCAGGAGGCTGAGGCAGGAGAATTGCTGTAACCCAGGAGGCAGAGGTTTCAGTGAGCCAAGACTGTGCCATTGCACTCTAGCCTGGGCGACACAGTGAGACTCTGTCTCAAAAAAAAAAAAAAAAGGCATGCTAATTATTTTAGGAAACAGTATAATTGGAAAAGAGATAAGACTAAAGAGATAAGACATTTTTAAGAACTGAATATCTCATTTAGACAGCATAAAAACTTTTCAAGGTAGTTACTTCCATTCACATTTTATTGACCTCAAATCTGAGCTATAGTGAGTTTAAGTGATTTGCCCAAATCTCATCCTGAATAGTCAGTATAATTGAACTGGGTCCTTCTGATTCTAAGCCTGTATCCTTTTTTTGGAATTGATCCTTCTGATTCTAAGCCTGTACCCCTTTTCACCTTATTTTACTTGCATATTTTGCTTTTTATATTTTCTTTTCAGTGAACTGTCTGCCAAAAAATTGTACCTTTGTTGTGGTACCAAAGTAGAGTTCGGAGATGCTCTCGTTAATGCATGTCCATTGTACCAGCTTGAGGTAAATATAAGATCCTATTTGCTTTAATAATCTGATTGATATCTTTACGCTTTCAACTTCACTCTGGGAGAATATCCTCTTCCTATTAGGGCCAGCTTGGCTGGGAAAATAGCCCTCCATAGGTTCTGGACTCCAGTATTTCAGTCTGATTGTTCCTACCTATTCATTGGAGTAGGCACTCAGGCCTGCCACCTTATGAATATAAAGGACTCCTGGCCAAGCCATTAGCTAGAGACTTACTTCTTACAGGAAGAAAATGAGCAGGGAACATTTCCACCCACCCTCCAGCCCACTGTCAGAGCTTCTCAGAGCACACCCAGGAGAGACAACATTGGTGAAACTCAAAAGTCCTTCAGAGGACAATACTTGAGAGAAAAGAACTGGAGAAATGTGTTGCTGCTGGAAGAAACTGCTGTTGAAAAGAATAATCACTGTAGGGATGCAGACAGTATCTGATACTTGCTGAGATAAGATCTCTGCTGGCCAGTCAGTAGTTTTTGAGGTGGGTAGGAAGGGAAAGGAAGAGAAAACGTCTTTCCTCACCCATCCCGTTAACTTTAGCTACCTGAGGGATATGGGATTCAAGGACCTGAAGAACGCTATTAACTTTCTAAAAATGTTACACCTCTGTATTGTGTGAAGTTGAAAGAATATGTGTTTTTAATAAAGTAAAATTAAATTTTGAAACAAAAAAAAAAAGTTTAGACTCAGCAAAGTTTGATGCACAGCACTGTGGGCATGAAATCCCAGATGTCACAGCTCTACAGTTCAGAGTCACAGCCCCTCAGACAGCCGGGGGTTGCCAACAGTGCTAGGGTGTCTGGAGAAAAGAGCTGTGCAGCCCCAACCTGTATAAAATGAGGCTGTAACTGGCCCCTGGATCTTGATGATTCCCCTTCCTTGGGAGTGGAAGGAAGAGGCATTACTGACCTCCCTGCATAAGGATCCCATTTTGGAAAATTTTAAGCTCTCAGAGAAATTCTACAGCATTGAACTCTGAAAGAGAAGGTGATTTGGGTGTTACAATTCCTTCTACAAGATATTCTGTGTTTTCTAAGCAAAGGTTTTCTTAGCAACAGTCGAAAGTAGCAACCAGTAACAAATAACAAGAAATATAGGGAAAAAGAGGTCTATGCACATTGAAAACAATATTGGTTATGGTTGTATAATAGAGTATTTTGTGGCTGAAATGCAGTCTCTTTACAAATACTGGCATTTTGAAAAGTTTAAGGAACTTAGTTCATGCTTAAATATGAAATTTAAGGGAATTATTCATGTAGAAAATGAGTTAAGCAAAAAATCCACACATATTGAGTTTTTAATTAAAATTTCCTCTAATCGTGGCACCTGGCAATATGCCAATAGTTTAATTTAGTTATGGTTACTTATGGGCCTATAAATACACTCCAATATTCCCTATTTTGATTGTATTATTATGGCTTAAATAATGGCTGTCCTAAAATATGCCAATATTTTATCTTAGAGAAACAATAAATTTTTTTCTGAGTAATAATCATGAAAGAAAAAAGTGGCAAATTAGAAAATATAAAATTTTCACACTATAAAAAAGTGTTATATTTTTTGACCCAACTCTTAGAAACCTCAAAAAAAATTTTTCAGATTATAAGTTTCACCATATTGAACTTGAGCATCTTTGAGAATAAAGTACTGACACAGGTTACACTGTGATTATCTGGCAATAAACTTTTGAGAAATATTTTATCTTAACATGTTAAGCCCTGTTAATTGGCAATTAATGCTTTTAGCAATGTACATTAATTTTGTTGGTAAGATAAATATAGATGTTGAAAGTCAACAGTCTCATCAAATAAGATCCCTTGAGAACCCAAAGCTTACTCATTAGTAGCTTTTCCATTAAGAAATAGAACCTTGATTTTTGAGGGCTTTGGAATGTAAAGTGATGCTTTCTCTTGAAGCAGGCCACCAGCATGCAGATGTGTAGTTCTGTGCCCAGATTTGAGGCTGCTGTATTATCACCCTAGGACAGCTGGGAAAGCAGGTACAATGTCAATGTCAGCCATATCAGTGGTATCCTGTGGGAAGAAGTGGCAGCCAGAGTAGCCCAATATGGCCATGTGAAATATTGAGAAGGCTGAAATGAAGGATGAAAGTGATTCTTGTCAATTCATAGATGGTTGCTTTTAATGGAGCTTTAATAAAATACGGAGGAAATTTTCAATAGAAAAGAAGCACCTTATAAGGTAAAACTGTTGGAATTTGGCCTGGATTGCTCAGTGAGAGAGTGAATTTCAGATCACTGCGGAGTGGGTCAGCATAGATTGAGTTAACAATCTGGTGAGGCTACAGGAGAGGTAATTCAGCAAAGCATTAGAAAGCTAGGGGCAGCAGTCTTAGTAAATGTCAAGTATTATACATAATACATTATATTAACGTACAGTATAGTCAGCATACTGCACGTTAGATCTCCAATATTTAAAAAAAAACTTTAGGTGCCAAAAGATGATGATATTGTTTGGCTGTCTTCCCACCCAAATCTCATCTTGAATTGTACTTTCTATAATCCCAAGTGTTGTGGGAGGGACCCGGTGGGAGGTAATTGAATCATGGGGGCGATTTCCCCCATGCTATTCTTGTGATAGTAAATTCTTAAGAGATCTGATGGTTTTATAAGGGGCTTTCCCCTTAACTCGGTTCTTCTCCTTCCTGCCACCATGTGAAGATGGAAATGTTTGCTTTCTCTTCTGCTATGATTGTAAGTTTCTCAAGGCCTCCCGAGCCCTGTGAAACTGTGAGTCAATTAAACCTCTTTCCTTTATAGTTTAGCCAGCCTTGGGCAGTTCTTTACAGCAGTGTGAGAATGGACTAAAACAGTAAATCAGTGCCAGTAGAATGGGGTGCTGCTATAAGGATACCCAAAAATGTGGAAGCAACTTTGGAACCGGGTCAGGCAAAGATTGGAACAGTTTGAAAGGCTCAGAAGAAGACAGAAAGATGTGGGAAAGTTTGAAACTTCCTAGAGACTTGTTGAATGGTTTTGACCAAAATGCTGATAGTGATATTGACAATGAAATCTAGGCTGAGGTGGTCTCAGATGGAGATGGGGAACTTATTGGGAACTGGAGCGAACAAAGATCACTCTTGCTGTGCTTTAGCAAACAGACTGGCAGCATTGTGCCCCTGCTCTAGGGATCTGTGGAACTTTGAACTTGAGAGAGATGATTTAGGGTATCTGGCAGAAGAAATTTTAAGCAAGGCTTGGAGGGCTCAGAGACAGGAAGATGTGAGAAAGTTTGGAACTTCCTAAAGATTGACCAAAATGCTGATAGTGATATGGACAATGAAGTCCAAGCTGAGGTGGTCTCAGATGGAGATGTAGAACTTGTTGGGAACTGGAGCAAAGGTGACTCTTACTGTGCTTAGCCCACCTCTTGCATCAGTGTGAACTGGATGTGAAACATGGAGTCAAAAGAGATTCTTTTGGAGCTTTAAGATTTAATTACTTCCTTGCTGGATTTTGGACTTGCATGGTGCCTGTAGCCCATTTGTTTTGGCGAATTTTCTCTCATTTGGAATGGGTGTTTTTACCCAATGCCCGTACCTCCATTGTATTTAGGAAGTAACTAAGTTGCTTTTGATTTCACAGGCTCATAGGTGAAAGGGATTTGCCTTGTCTCAAATGAGACTTTGGACTTGGGCTTTTGGGTTAATGCTGGAATGAGCTAAGACTTTTTGGAGGACTGTTGCAAAGGTATGATTGTGTTTTTAAATGTGAGGACAGGAGATTTGGGAGGGGCTGGTGTTGGAATGACATGGTTTGGCTGTGTCCCCACCCAAATCTTACCTTAAATTTTAGTTCCCATAGTCCCCATATGTGGTGGGAGGGACCTGGTGGGAGGTAATTGAATCATGGGGACAGTTCCCCCATGCTATTCTCATGATAGTAAGTTCTCATGAGATCTGATAGTTTTATAAGGGGCTTCCCCCTTTGCTCGGTTCTCATTCTTCTACTTCTTGCCATTATGTGAAAAAGCATGTGTTTGCTTCCTCTTCTGCCGTAATTGTAAGTTTCCTGAGGCCTCTCCAGCCATGCTAAACTGTGAGTCAATTAAACCTCTTTCCTTTTAAATTACCCAGTCTCAGGTATGTCTTTATAGCAGTGTGAGAACAGTCTAATACAGACGAACCACAGTTTGTTTATTCATTCACACATTTAAGGATATTTAGATGGTCTGCACATTGGCTCCCATCTTAAAGTGACTTCTTCACATCAACTTTAGCCTTCTGAGGGTTCACTGCCCCTCTCTGCACCTCTGAGTTTTCTTACTGATACACTTAGTCACTACTAGGTCTCTTGCTGTGTATGGTCATTGAGAATTAGGAACGCTGCTTTTATTTCACCTATTGCATATGGTTGTTGTGCCATTGCCTTGTGTCATGTGGGAAATGGCCACAGTTGCAGCTTTTTCAAAAGCTTAGAAACTCCAACTACTAAATCCAGTCAAGTGTGCCATTAGACTCAATGATTTGGACTGTTCCATACCTATCTATGTGTTACAGAATAAATATTCCTGCTCTTCCCACCCCAACACACACTCACATGCCAGGATGAGAGGGGAGCTTGGAATCTGATCTAATTATTCCCTTGTCCCTGTTCTCTATACAACAAAGAAGAAGCACAAAAGGTGAGCTTTGGGTTTTTCATCTCTGAATTTCATGTTTTCCTTCTCTGATCCTGAAGTCTGTCTCTGTAAAGAGGGAATACAATGAAATCAATAGTCTGTCAAATAGATTGCTTTGCTGATGATCTAAAAATTTTATGTTAGAAATGGAATATTAATCCTCTTTCATTTTGTATTCTTGTTTGAACAATTTTATCACCCCCTAACCTCATTCTTAGACAGATGCCTCTTGATGACTGGGAAAAAGATTAAGTACATGAAAATACAAGAGTACAGCATGCAAACAAATTTTAAAATATTCTTGTAACTTGAACATATATGTAGCTTTTTATTGTTTATAAAATGTTTTAGCAGCTATATGTTGGAAACAATTTGAAACTATATTAAAGAGAGAAAGGCTGAGTAATTTTAATGCAACTACCCTACAGATTATCAGTCGTCTATTAAATAAGGTAGAACTACATGTACAGAAACTAGGCCTGTACATGTTGTAGAAAAATATGTAAAATATAATTCCATAAAAATTAAATAAAATATCCTACATAAGTGTATGCATAGTTCTATATGTTTGTGAGAACAGAAAAACCATGGAATGAAAAATAGCCCAACCTGTTAATGTTAGTTACCTGGGAGGTATGGGATTGAAGGAGTTGAGGAACACTTGATTTTCTAAAAATTCTGAATCTCTGAATCATGTAAAATGTAACAGAAATATGTTTTTTAAAGAAGTAAAATTAAGTTTTAAAACAAAAAAAAAACTGGATGAACTTTGCTATGGATTGAATTGTGTCACCTCCAAGTTAACATGTTGAAGCCCTAATCCCCCATGTGATGGATGATATTTAGATGTGGGGCCTTTGGGAAGTAATTAAGTTTAGATGAGGTCATGAGGTTGAGGCCCTCATAATAAGATTGGTGCCTTGACAGAAGAGACACAAAAGAGCTTACTCTTTGTCTCACCACCATATAAGGACAAAGTGAGGAGGTGGCCAACTGTATGCCAGGAAGAGGGTCTTCACCAGAGAACCAAATAGGCTAGCACCTTGATCTTGGAACTCTCACCCTCCAGAACTGTGAGAAGTAACTATATGTTGTTTAAGTGATCCAGTCTATGGTATTTTGTCATGGCAGCTTGAAATGACTAGGACAGACATACAAAAATATTATTGCACTCTAATTTTCTATTAATGATCTCGGATTTCTGTTTTATTAAAAAGATTTAATTTTTGCTTTCATGTATTTTCCAAATGATGTATAAGGTACATATCATTATTGTAATAACTGTAACACATTATATTTTATTATATTTTGTAAACAAGCTTTCTTTTTAATAAAATGAAATCACATTACATGTATTATTATCCAAGTAGCTCAGGTAGTTTGAGTGAGGGTCCCATAGCTAGTTGGTGTCAGTATTAGGCATAAAAATGAGAACCCAATTCTAGTTCAGTCCACTTTCCATCAAACATGCTTTTTCATGAAAACATGTGCTGCCATTGTGCAATAGCAGAAGGTTTACAAGAATAGTCTTTGAAGGCTAATATGTTCTAAAACACACACGCAACATACACAAGTTTGAAGTTTAGACAGTATGTTTCCATTCCTAAAATACAGACAAACACTTCAACAAGACCTAGAAATCCAAGTGTTTAGAGAGTTTAAATACATAGAAGTTACATTTCAGATCAATGAAGTTTATTGTGTGGCAAGGTATACACATAGTATTTTGTGTTTTTGCGTGTTGGGCTTGTCATATTTACATTAAGAAAAAAGTATAAAGAATGACTAAGGAAGTTCTCATCGGCTAGTGAAAGAAGAAAATATATTGTATGCCTATGTTGTTGTCATCAAATCCTATTTTTACTTTCTGATTTGTAAAACAGGCAAAAGATACCAACCTCCTCCTCATTCTCCCATTCTAAGCTTTATTTGTAAGACTCATTTGTATCATATTTCTATTTACTTCCTAAGTCATAACTAATATGTCTATATTTTCATACACACAAAACTTTGAGAATCAAACTTAGATATCTAAGTTCATAAATGGAAGTTAAGCCCAAACTGACTGTTTTTTGGGGGGCTAAATGATAAATAATTGGTTGTTCTACAGAATTCAATCAATCCTGTCTTGAATGTTATGATATCCTAAATCACTTTCATGAGGGTAGTGAAAGGTAATAATGTCACTTTCTTGAGCCACAAATAGGCTAAATAAAGAACATGATAAAGAGGCAACAAAAGAAAACAGAGAAGTCAAAATGCATAGAGGGACAATCTAGTAGAGAGGTTAATAGTAAGGGTTGTGGAGTCAGACTGCCCAAGTTTTAAGTCTGTCTCTACTCCCAACACTATATGTATGAAAAAGGGAATTTACTTAATTTTTCTATTACTCTGTTTCTTCATCTGTAAAAAGGAGATAATTATAATGCCTGCCTCATAAATAAATGAATACAACTCCACAATTCTGAAAAGCTCTATAGTACATTTTTTTCTTATAAGCTTAATAATAAAACTCAATGGACAACAGAACTAGACTGGAATGGACAGCTATCTCTTCCATTTGCTGTTCACAGATATTTTATTATTATTTTTTGGTGATTTTGAGTTTAATTGCAATGAGATTAAAATTTCAACAAGTAAACAAGTGTTAGACCTACCACTACTCCCCATGGTCTATGGTGATAAAGTAAATGAAACATCTGTTATAAACAACAGTGCAGAAAGTGGAGTTACTGCCAAAGTTTGATTATGATTATAATAAGTCTTCCTGAAAAATTTTATAAATGAAGGATAAAACAAAGTATCTAACTAAAGGATATAATGTGAAAAATATGAACTCATGTATTTTAAGGAAATAGAAAAACAAGTTGTTGAAGTTTCTCAGTGACAACAACACCAAAAACTAGTGAGAAAAATGGAAAAACGAGAATCATAAAAAAATCAAAACAAAAATGATTTAAGATTCCAATTGTGTGTTGAATGAATGGTTCACCAACAAGGAAGTGAAGCTGAGCTACTGATTGGTCTATGGGTCACAAAGTAAGCTTGAATATACTATTTAAAAAATTGAATATTGAATATGACTGTGAATATTCAAAAGTCTGGCTACAGAAATTTAAGAAGCCTCAGATGTAATTATCTGGAAATTTGTTGTGTAAAAGTTGCTGCTGGCCATAAAGATGCAGATTAGGTTAGCACATTTGCTAAGATAATGTCTTACTTAGCTTGGGCTCTGTGATGGTTAATACTGAGTGTCAACTTGATTGGGTGGAGGAATACAAAGTATTGATCCTGTGTGTGTCTGTGTGGGTGTTGTCAAAAGAGATTAACATTTTAGTCAGTGGGCTGGGGAAGGCAGATCCACCCTTAATCCGGTGGGCACAATCTAATCATCTTCCAGCAAATATAAAGAAGGCAGAAAAAAGTGAAAAGGAGAGATAGGCCTAGGTTCCCATCCTACATCTTTCTCCCTTACTGGATGCCTGTTCACTCTGATGATAGTTGCTTTTGCTGTGCAGAAGCTCTTTAGTTTAATTTGATCCCATTTGTCAATTTTGGCTTTTGTTGCCGTTGCTTTTGGTGTTTTAGTCCTTAAGCCTTCGCCCATGCCTATGTCCTGAATGGTATTGACTAGGTTTTCTTCTAGGGTTTTTATGGTTTTAGGTTTTACATTTAAGTGTTTAATCCATCTTGAGTTAATTTTTGTATACAGTGTAAGGAAGTTTTCTGCTTATGGCTAGCCAGTTTTCCTAGCACCATTTATTAAATAGGGAATCCTTTCCCCATTTCTTGTTTTTGTCAGGTTTGTCAAAGATCAGATAGTCGTAGATATGTGGCATTATTTCTGAGGGCTCTGTTCTGTTCCATTGGTCTATATCTCTGTTTTGGTACCAGTACCATGCTGTTTTGGTTACTGTAGCCTTGTAGTATAGTTTGAAGTCAGGTAGCGTGATGCCTCCAGCTTTGTTCTTTTGGCTTAGGAGTGACTTGTCAATGCGGGCTTTTTTTTTGGTTCCATATGAACTTTAAAGTAGTTTTTTCCAATTCTGTGAAGAAAGTCATTGGTAGCTTGATGGGGATGGCATTGAATCTGTAAATTACCTTGGGCCGTATGGCCATTTTCACGGTATTGATTCTTCCTACCCATGAGCATGGAATGTTCTTCCATTTGTTTGTGTCCTCTTTTATTTCATTGAGCAGTGGTCTGTAGTTCTCCTTGAAGAGGTCCTTCACATCCCTTGTAAGTTGGATTCCTAGGTATTTTATTCTCTTTGAAGCAATTATGAATGGGAGTTCACTCATGATTTGGCTCTCTGTTTGTCTGTTATTGGTGTATAAGAATGTTTGTGATTTTTGTACATTGATTTTGTATCCTGAGACTTTGCTGAAGTTGCTTATCAGTTTAAGGAGATTTACATAATCCAAGTATGATATATGAAACTTATCTGGGTCAATGTTTCTGATTTCATTGTCTGATTTTGTTTCCAGGCCAGATTATAGAAATGTTATTATTTTCAGCTGGTATATTTACTTAAGAAATTAGGATTAGACTAATTAAATTTACATCAAGGAACTTAATTGCTTTCAAATGTTATATGTACCTGAAGATAAAATTAGAATTATGGTAGATCAATTTGCATAAATAATAGCCAAAATATTTATTGTTCTCTATATACTTCATAATTTAGCATTTTCTGTATTTTCTATGAAATATAACCTTTTGAAAAACTACATAATTTGTGTTTTTTTCTAGATTGTTACCACTGAGTCTTTCTCAGAGACTAAACTGATTAGTTTGATAAATCATAAATTAGAAGTAATCACTCTCAATTGGCATATGGATATCATTATGAAGAAATATATTGTATTTAATAGAAATGCTCCATTTCATATGGTTGACATAATCCTGTAGCTCTGCACTTAAAGCTGAACTAAACCATGCTTTTAAAGAATTGTCTGTTTCCCACAAAATAAATTGTATTTTAATGTAAATTTGGTTTTATGAAGCTTAGAAAATATAATTTTTAGATAAATAGAAATTTGAAAAAGATAATGAACTGCTACAAGATCAGAAATAATCCTTCAAGTCTTAATTAAAGTAAAGGTATGTTAGTTGTTTTGAAAATGTCATAGTTGTGACAAATTCAGAAATAAGCTAATTGTAAAAAGAAAAATGAAAGAAAAAGCATGTCATTGTCTAATTTATGTGAAAGGAAGAAATTAGCTGATTCAAAGGTAGTGAGAAAAGTATGCTGGTGGAAACTTGGAAAAGTCTCTAGCAACATCATCCATTGTTCTACAAATTCCTTTCTGAAGTCTGGCACTCTTCTATGTTAAGATAAATTAGATGACATTTGCTTTTGTGTTAAGTAAAAACAACTTTTTGTTAATGATGTTTATGAAATATGCCATGCATATTTACAATCTGGATTTTCTAAGGGATGGATTATATCTTCCTGTTTATACTTGTGTGAGAATCACTACAGGTAACCCTCAAAGAAAGTTCATAGTGCCAGTAATTGGAGCTAGCCAGTGGGTGGAATAGAGAGGAAATATTTTTGTGTTTGTGTAGAGTTGGAGCTTTTTGAATAAATTTTGTTGAAAATTTTGGATCCTAAGATAAGAGCAAGCCTTGGGAAATTAATTTATGACTGTGTAGATAGTGAGAAAACTCCAGACAAATTTCCCTAACTCCAGAGGTATGTGTTTACCTCTCAAGGAAAAATGTGTCTCAGATCTTGGTGACATCTGTAGGTCAGAAAAGTCAGACACACCAGGTGAATCTGGCCATTGGAGATACGTATTTATATTCAAAAATTTTAGAGTGAGATTTCAGGATACTTTTCATCCAGACTCCCAAGAGCAAAGGTTTCCTCTCTGATTTCAATAAAGGTAAATGAGGCAATTGTCTTTTCCCCATGTATATAGGGAGATAAAGTCCAATTTTCTCCAGTCCTCATCTGTAATATAGACTTTGACATTTATATGTGTAGTATTGACATGGTTTTCATTGAATTGTTCTAGGGGTAAGGATTGGGATATGAAGAATGTGCAGTGTTTTTTTTTTAGGTAAACAACGATAATGTGTCTTGATTCAGAACACCTCATATGTACCTTCAGGATAATATTAATAAAGGTAAATATAAAAACCAAACAAAGACAAATAAACAACCTGTTAAAAAATCCATAATTAATGTCCAGATCAAGAGAAGTCAGACTGATAGATAACATTAACCTTTTGAAAATCCTTGTTTTGAACTTGTTGCATATCATACCACTTTATCAGAACATGTTTTCACAATATTTGTAGATTATATAGTTTGCTAATATTTGCCTTATTTAACTGTAACTTAAATGGAATTACATTTGTTATCTGCTGTGATCCTCAAAGGCATTAAAGTGGAATCCTACTGAGGTAATTTCATTAGTTCCTATAGTTTTAGCTCATTTTTCAAGTTGCAATTCCACCTTTATAGAGATTAATTTTAGTATTACTAATGTTGATAATAAGTTCCTATCCTGTAGAGACTTTGCACTAAAGCAACTGTATTTAGTTTCTTAAAACAGTGAAAAAGTTGTATTTGGCCACTTTTTATTTATCTCTTAGTATTTATTTTCATAAATAGTAGAGCCAGTGTAGATCTTACCAGAAAACAATAGTCAATAAAAAAGCACCTCTAACACTTGACCTCTACTACTTGGCTTCTTGCTCACTGATACTTACTGGCAGCTGGAAAAAAGTATAATTTGAAGATTTGACTCCTGGAGACTGAAGATTGGACAGATGTGGTTTGTTGTTTTCACGAAGTCAGAAGAATCAATTTAAAATGAAAATTTAAAAAGTTCAAACAGATGTTGTTTTAAATGCTGAAACAAAATTCTGAGAATATTTTTCTATAGAAATAATAGCTATTTGCTGGGATTGAGCAGAATTGTAAAGATCACACAGCTAGACCCCAGTTTCACTTTTTAGTCCTGTGGTAAGAAATCCTATTATAATAACAAAATATTTAAAATCTATCTAGAACGTTCAACTTCAAAGCATTTATACTGACCACAACATGAAGTTATTTAAGAAATAATGTCAAATGTACTTCAGAGGAAGTGTCTGCACTGAATGAAAAAGATTAAAAATCATGCATATATATTCACTGACATTTCTGCCCTGCATCATGTAGCATTTTATATTCCAGGGACATTAATGTGCACTTTTGCATTTATGAGAAATAGAGCCAACAGCTGGTGCCTCATAATTTCAATTTTCAAGATAGTGATAGTGTATGGCACAGGATTTAATCACTATTCCTGTAACTCAAGCATCTCCCCTCTGAGATTACACTTTCTGGTATGAAAAGATCCATGAACTCTATATTAACTAAGGCTTCTGGGAAATATTACAGGATAACAGACAAGAGCATCTTTGAATTGATCATATTTTCTGATGTCATAACTTGACACTGTGGGAAATGCATGACTGTAGTCCCACCATTTCTCTGAGCTTAAAACGCTGATGTGTTTGCCAATGTTGTGGGAATTCTTTCCGAAGAAAAGTCAGATTGAGACTTTTGGTTTAAAATGGTGGTTTGACAGACACATTTGAACGGACACGTTTATGTCAGTTCCCTCAAGAAACCACACAAAAGTGAGAGAAAAGGATTTTTTGGATGCTTATTTTGACAAAGACAGTCCTGTATAAGAAGAGAGAATAGAAAAAAAATTGGAAATCAGAAAGAAGATAACGAGCGCGATGGAATTAGCGTGTGCAGGAAAGTTAAATCCTAACTTAATAATGGGTAAAGTCAAATTGTTTACCTCATAGACACCCCAAAAGGCCTGGGAATTGGTACAGGTTAGCACTTTTTAAAGGCATAAATGAACACAGGTATGGAAAATAATAGGAGGATTATTTCAAGGTCTGTTTGCAAAGCATTTGGACTCATTTTCTCTCTCTACTCAGAAACCTGAATGACTTCCCCTCTTATTCTCTCAGTTTTGGAGATTTATTATCTAAAGAGCATAAACAGAAGGTCTCTATAGTGGAGTTCAGAGGGAAGAATGGAAAGTACAAGTTAAATACTCAACATGGGGATAAAATGGAAATTTACGTAGTGAATATGCTGACTCTACGTCATTGCTCAAATGACATAGAATGCTAGAAGCAAAGGCTAAATAATTCAGGTAGGAGAATAAAATAATTTTGCATGATAGTATCTCATCATCCTAAGAATAAAAGACTTAACGAAACTGAGATAGGGGATTGTCCCGCAAATGAGAATATTTCAGTGAAGCTCAGAATCAATAAATCCCACCCAAGCATAAGGAGAGTCTAATCTACTTTTAACAGACCCACTTATATAAAAGCAAGGAGTCAAAGATGATCAGATACTTGAAAAAACATCAAACATGGAAATCACAGGGAAAAACAAATGACAAACAATAAATTTGGAAGAAACCTAGAACAGAGAAGAGAGAATTGAAGGAGAAAGAGAAAAGAGAGAAGAAGAAAAGACCTGGCTTGGATTGGTATTCTATTTGCTCATTATGTGGGTAGTTAAAAGGTGGGGAACGCTATCAATTTAATAAAGACATACCTACTGTTGGGTGGCCTGGCCATTGGAGGAAATGTCATTGGGTGATCAAATGATGTCTGAGTGGTAACAGTTACCCTTCCTATACTCACCTGCAGGAGAATCTTCCACTGGAGAGGAATTGGCTCTCCTTTGGCATTTCAGTTATAGAATAACTCTGATAATGCAGAGGTGTTGGGCTAGTGAGACCCTAGAGGCTATGCCTTCACACTGATGACTCTAGTATTCTAATCTCATAGAGAAGTTGTACAATTTTTGGATCTCCTCTCATCTCTGACTTCCAGATAGTCTCTTCAGTCCAAAACAGTCAGTCTGAGCATTCTCATTTTTTAGTCATCATTGGATAAACACCCTATATACTGGTGTGCTTGTGTGCATATGTGTGTGTGTATGTGTCTGCACATGTGCACACAGGCACACGTGCATGCATAAATTTTTAAGAAGGACTTCCCTCAATGGTATTTAATCACAAGCAAGACATTCTCACTTTGGGAGGCCGAGGCGGGCGGATCACGAGGTCAGGAGATCGAGACCATCCTGGCTAACACGGTGAAACCCCGTCTCTACTAAAAATACAAAAAATTAGCCGGGCGTGGTGGCAGGCGCCTGTAGTCCCAGCTACTCGGGAGGCTGAGGCAGGAGAATGGCGTGAGCCCCAGGGGGCGGAGCCTGCAGTGAGCCGAGATTGCGCCACTGCACTCCAGCCTGGGCGACAGCGAGACTCCGTCTCAAAAAAAAAAAAAAAAAAAAAAAAAAAAAGACATTCTACTGCAGGTGATCTTATTGCCCTGGCTATCCTCTTTTTAGAGAATATGCGAGGTTAGTTCTCGTGAGCATCAGTGACCACACATATTAAAGCCTGACTGATTTGCATCAGATGAACTTTTCCCTCCTTTACATTTGGTCATTTTCAGTTGAACCCTCAATCTTCTTCTAGAAAGCCATGGTGGCTTTCTAGCCACCTGACCAGATCTACATCCTGCCTTGCTAACTCTCATACACATAAGGGGAAATGGCAAGAGAGCACACATACTGAAGGTGCTGGAGTGGCATTTATCAGGGAAAACTCATGGAGACAGGAATAGCAGCAGGTGTGTCAATGCCTTATCGTTCATTTCATTCTAGGTCAATGCCAAGCATTTAGGCTGTGCTGAAAATCAGACTGCAGTGGCACTCTGACATTTTGGCCCTGGGATTTTAAGCTGTATGATTAGGCAAGCACTAGCTCTTCCTCTGATGTGGTTCATGACTAAGAAACAGTAATATGGTGTGACAGAACTTTTGTTTCACCCCTATTTTGACAGGAGTCTGGCTGCCCTCTGTGCCATGGATTGGGTAAAGTCTAGAGGTAGTACTATATTTGGGAAGACTGTTGGTGACCCCCCCCCCAGATGAAGGACATACCCATTACTTTTACCGTGTTTAATATGATAATATATTTCTGGGTCCAAACATTTTGCCATATGGGCTTCTCTCACCCTGGGTACAAGTACCAATGAGTACACTTCAACTACATCAATAACATGGAAGTGGGTTAGTTTGGTGGTAAAAGGGTAACTACTGGTTTCCAGTGAGGTGAACAATCTTGGTATGGGACAGAGGCTATGGGTACATTTAGAAGGAAAAAAGTTCTTATCTAATAAGAATGGAAAACTGAATTCATCAGAGGCTGGAAGCAGGTTTACACTGTCTTGTAGTGGGATTTCTCTAAGAAGTATTACCACCAAGGCCAACCCAAATTCTTTGTTACAATTTTTCATAAGTGGTGACTATCTTTGCTAAAATGTCTAATCTTCCAGTGAGAGAGAGATAAAATACTTCCAGGGCCTATTAATTCCCCTACTCTGTTCCCATAACTTCCTGGAAAACTTGATTTATACACCATGTAGCAGTACTGGCAAATACAAGTGAGTGCCAAAAAAGGATCTTAGCTCCCAAGGTTTAGGAAAGTTATTTGGGATGGCTCTTTCATCTCTCAGAATAATGGAGGTCACTGGAAGATACTTGGAAGAAATCTTAGAGGTCTTCTTAAGACTTTTCTCAATCTGTGATGTCAGCCTTATTAATATTTTCCATGCCAGATACTGGATATCTTTTGGGCTTTCCATAAAAAAGATCTTACCACATATTCCTCAAGAGAAATAATTTGCATCCTGAGGGTGGTTATTTGGAATTGCTGATAATCCACCAGTTTTTTCTTTGGCAAATTTAGTTCTTATTCTCATAGTTCTTAGGGGATTGATTATGAAATTGTGGTATTTTGCTTTAAGCATGACTTTTAAGGACAAGCTTCGTGATCAGAGTATTGGACTGAGAAGTTAGGGTTAATATGCCCAACACTGACTCTCCTAAAGATAGTCTTAGAAAAGGGATTTATTGGTAAAACTCAGTGGAAACTATCTATAGTCCAGTAATTAATCCTGGTTCAACACAGGATTTGGAGCCCTAGACCTAGATTATTCCAATGAAGTTATTTCAGTTAGTGATGTCTGCGAAAGAAATTACCTGAAAACTTGGTGGCTTAAAACAACCACCATTTATTATTTTTCACAAATTGGTGTATGGGTCAGCTTGGCATTTCTGCTGATCTGGGCTGAGATTAATTGGTCTTGACTGTGCTCTCTTACCTGTTTTGTGGTCTACTGACTGTTGTCTAGAATGATCTCAGCAAATAGTAATACACCTACAACTTTCAATTCTCTGATTACATTTGCTAATACCAATTGGTCAAAACAAGACACAACCTCTTTCAGAGTCAGAAAGGGGAGAGACTGGGAATTTACAGAGCAAATGACTTGGATATAGAGACATTCACTGATTACATTAATGTAATCAATCTACCATTCTACCCTCTGCTCAAAATTATATATGTGCCTCACAAATGCAAAATACATTCATCTCTTTCAATGGCCCCATAAAATCTCATCTAAACACAGTATCAGACTGTGAATCTAGTATCTTATCTTATACTTCAAGTCAGGATGCACTTCTCTAAATCCAGAGCTTTATTAACAAGTTTACCAATATCACACACACCCAACACAAGTATTAGACTAAGGCAATATAATTACAAGATACGTGTCTATTCAAAAAAGGGAGAGAGGAAAACCACACAGCAGTCATTGTCTGCATTAATTCTGAAATCTCACAGGGCAGATGCTGCTAGGTCTTCTTACTGTGGGGCCAGGGACTGTTCCTTGATTAGACCAATTCTGCTATTAGGGAGTGACTCATCAGTCCGTTATTCCCCACAGCCCTTTGCTGCACTCCCTAGAAGGTGCTTTGTTTTTCATGTTTCTTGACTACTTTTAAATAGGTCATTATTGCTGTCTGAGGGGTTTCCTCAGTCCATTTCCTGCTATAGAAAGTTGGCGCCCATTTAGAAATAGAGCAGATGAGTTGCTGAAAGCTTAACCTGTTTCTCCAAGATCACACAGGGTTAAGTGTGATGCTTTTACAGTTTTTAAAATGTTAAGTGAAAAATGCTATTGTTACCCATTATACATAATTATAATTCTAGGAAATAATCTCGTCTAGAGGGTGTTAATTTTAACATCAGATTTTACCTTAACAAGTTTCACGGACGAAAGAGCAAAATGATGTTGCCTTGAGTAGTTGCATTACCATGGTAATGAGCTTCTGCCAATGAAGTATATTATTCAATAACATTATTGTTTCATATATTGGTGTTCCCCTCACTTCAAGGGATTGTCCTTTCAGTTTTAATAGAGAAAAGTTGAGAACAACATGGAACTGTAATAGTGTCCCATTTCTCATTAACATTGATTGTTAGAATGTACATCTTATATTATAGGTTCCTTAAGTATATTTTATGATCAAAGAAATTTAGTTTGGCTATTTGACATATTCTTAAAAATAACGACAATGGTTTATAGGCCTTGATTTTTCCTATAGGGATTAATTTTGTGTTAATATAAAGAAAAGTTCTATTAAGTATACGATAAATGTTTGTAATTTCAAGAGAACTTTGTTTAAAATTATTCTTTCATTTTAATCATTCTCATATTTACACTAAAGTGCAATAGATTTTATGGCAGTTTAATGCACTTGAATGTACTTATTACAATAGCCACAGATTTTAAAATTATTTTTCTCATTTTGACCATGTTCTGCTAAGTGATTTTCTCCAAGTCCATTCTAACATTTTTATATCCCTTTTCCTATATAATTTGAAGATTATGGAAACCAATGTCTTATCTCTTTGGGAGGATTAAATGACATAAATTGTCCTTAAGTTTGTTACAGAAAGGTTGTCATCAATATATTTTATAATTGCTATAATAATAATACCTGTTGATTTAAACTAATATAACCGAATTGTTCCCCAAACCTCAGGCAAGAAAATCCTTTGAGGAAATATGCATGTAAATGAGCTACTGCAACAGAGCAATAAACATCAATAAGATTAAGTAATTATATTTGCTCTAAAGTTCCAAGTAGAGGGAAAAGTACATGAATTTTAATAGCAATGGTAGCAATATAATCACCCATTATCTCTATAAAAAAATAAATGAGGTGGTAGGGGGAATAGAAAAAGAACATAATGAAAAAAACAACCATTAAAACAAACAAAAACCCCCAAAATTAAAATTTCTATGCCATGTCTTTAAGACTTAGCAACGAACTCCCTTTCCCTCTCTTTTCTTCCCCTTCCTTTTTTTCTCTCCTTCTCTCTCTCCTTTCCCCCTTTCCTTCCTTCCTCCCTTCCTTCCTCTGTAATATGCAATGATAGATAAATCGCTATGCCATTTATTACATGTAAACCTAATGAGACTGATTTGTGAATGTTATGAGAAGAAATACCCAAGTTATCTTTCTTTTTTTTTAAACTTATAAATTGTTTATTTCTGTAATTTTCCATTTAAGATTTCTGGACCATGGTTGACCATGGAAAGTGAAACTGCACATAAGGGAGGACTATTGTACTAAGTTAAATACCTGCAGATATTTTATATTTCTTTAGTTCATAGTTTTTGGTTTTTTTTTTTCAAAACAAGAGAAATTTATTCTCTCACAGTTCTGGAGGCCAGAAGTCCAAAATCAAGGAGTCAGCAGGGTTAGTCCTCTGAGCACTCTTGAGGGAGAACCTGTCTGTCCCACAATTCTCCTCTAGTTTCTGATGGTTGCCAGCAAACCTCAGCATTTCTTTTTCTTTCTTCTTCTTTTTTTTTTTTAACTCCTATTGTGATGGCTGGAAACAGAAACTAGAATATAAGTCAAAGCAGAATTCTCGTTCAACCATAATAATGACAACTTCTCTGAGCTCAGGAACAATAAATTGTCTTTTTTCATTTACTTTTTAAAGATTAGTTGAGTACCTTGTTCTTCGTAAGTGCTCAAAGAGTGATTTTTAATGAGAAAGTGTTTATTTCTAAAAAAATGAAAAAAGGATTTTTATTTCCATAGTATTTGAATGATTATTCAAATGTAATGAAGAACAGAAAGGAAGTATGATACGGAAATTAATGGAGGTAGTTCCCAAAATTAAGTAGCCTGTTACCAAATCATGTAAATTCTCTAGACCTCAAATATCTTAGGTATAGGCCGGGCGCGGTGGCTCACGCCTGTAATCCCAGCACTTTGGGAAGCTGAGCCGGGTGGATCACGAGGTCAGGAGATGGAGACCATCCTGGCTAACACGATGAAACCCCTTCTCTACTAAAAATACAAAAAATTAGCAGGGCGTGGTGGTGGGCACCTGTAGTCCCAGCTACTTGGGAGGCTGAGGCAGGAGAATGACATGAACCTGGGAGGTGGAGCTTGCAGTGAGCAGAGATAGCACCACTGCACTCCAGCCTGGGTGACAAAGCGAGACTCTGTCTCAAAAAAGAAAAAAAAAATAATAATAATAATTTCTTAGGTATAACACAAAAGGAAAGAACTACATGAACTCCAAAGTGTTTTCAGCTTTATAGATAAGACATTTTTAAAAAGCTGAAGAACTATCTGCCCATTATTATGATTTAATTGCATTTTCTTTTGTATAATTCATTATATACTTATGGAATGCCAGCTCTATGCCAGGCACTGTGTTAAACTTCAGGATAGAAAAATGAATCAGACAAACTTTTTATCAGGGTTTATAATTTAGTTGGAGATACAGCAGAATAAATTTATGACTGTCATAAAATAACAGGGTTGTTATGATTAAGGATTGACAAATGAGTGGTGCTTTTCTTGCTGAGGAAAACCTAGGAGAGAGGATTGAGAGATATCAAGTGTTCTAAGTCCTAAGGATTGTAGCCTTTGCTTATGGACATGGTAGTAGAGGAACTTCAAGACCTAAGGTGAACACAAAAAGGCAATTATGTGGAATGCCATGTTACAGTGTGATAGGAGAGCTGAAAATGTTTTGTTCACTATTTTCTTCTTTCGCAAAACTAATAATTTGAGTGTTTCTCAAAAAAAAAACATGCTCTGGAAAAATAGGAAATTTTCTGGAGGACCTTGTTTGTCTTATTAATAAGATTATGTTTTAATTAAAAAGGATCCTAGTTTTTTCTTGGGAGTAGTAATACATAGAGTGTGAGAGAGAATTAAACAAACTAGCTGGGGAGAGGAACGGACACACTAGTTTCCTTATTTTTAGAGATGTGTTTCATACTTTAGTTTCCACTGTTCAACTCTTTTTCTATTGGAACCTTAAAAAATATTTCTGAGACAAACTGTGACCTGTTTAAAAGACAGTTTTATTGTTCAAATGGGCTAAGTCACCTTCCAAGCACTTATACTGCCACACATGGCTATTCATTCTCCAGGGTCATTGCCTTGAGAACATGCAATGCCTTGGCACAGAATGGACCTTGAGGGTGAATGGCGGGCAGTGAAGCAATGGAAAGGCCGTGTTCAAACCAGCTCTGCCCTTGAGGCAGTGAGGATCTCCAGTGTGTTGCCATGGGTATTTCTGAGTCTTCTACTGTGGTGAACAAGTGACGATATCTGAGAACCGGATGAAATGTGCATACAGATAATCTGAAAGAAATACCAGGGATTCATGAAAGTTCCCTTTCTTTGATAAGGCAATGGAGCTAAAATAGCAATCAATTAAACAATCATTAGTGTGCTTACTAATATATATTTGGATTAATAGGACAATGAAAAGAAACTAAAAAAAATCACAAACATGTCTGAGAAAAAGCATCTCATCATGGCTGAACTAAAAGAAACTTTCATCTAAATGCTGTTGTGAAGCAATAATATTCTTGACGGTCAATGTTATTTGTAAAGCTGAAGCTGAAAAAATAGCGATGTTCAAAGACTCTCCTTTTCTTAGTGATTCTTTTAACTGTTAGGTCCTAGATGACATATGAGAAAAGTTAAATGCATTTTAAAACTGCAACAGACATTAGTTAAAATCTGAAAATTACATGTTGAAATGATGTAATAGCAATTCTAATACAAATCAGAAGAGGGAGGACTTTGTGTTTTATAACTGCTGGTTGTTTAAAATGATTTTACAGGATTTCTCTCCTTCAGACATAGTCACAGGGTAGATATTTGGAGGCACAGTTGAATTTGAGCCTCATTCTAATAGTCAAAAAAGCTCTTACAGGGAAGTAGGGTCCCATGAATATCATGAGAATACAAGCTTAAAAATGAGGACAGTGACTCCAGCTTCAGAGCACTACGTTATATCTTCTTGTGTGTTTTACACATACAAGGAGGCCAGTCTTCTCATGATGTATAATTTTAAAATTATTCTAAATATCTTGGGAGATCTCTTTGGCGTGGCCACTATTTGCATATTTAAGATATGTATCCTAATCGATACATACTGCTTGCTGGTCCGTTTAATAGAGAAGCCCCAGGGGATCCATTGTGGAATGGCACATTTTTCTCGTTTACATCATTCAGACAGGTTATAAATGATCTCTAAATATCCATGCTTGTTTCTTGTTGAACCATGTTGTGTTTATCATCCATGAATTTGGTTGCATAATTTTGCTAAAATGCTGAATACTCTCAGAATATTTTTCATAGGTTTGATGTATTTAATTTCAAGACTGCAATACATCATAATAATTATTTAATAAAGTTGTTATTAGCCAGGGACCATGGCTTGCACCTGCAGTCCCAACTATTCAAAAGGCTGAGGTGGGAAGATCACTTGAGCCTAGAAGTTCGAGGCTGCAGTGAGCTATGATTGCAATGCTGTGCTCTAGCCTAGGTGATAGAGCAAGACCTTGTCTCTAAAAAAGTAGTAAATTTTAGGGAGTCACACATACCTCTAGACACCTCTCCTTCACCAGAGTTCATGGACACAAAGCCTTTCTTTGTGTCTTATGTTAAAATTACAAATCAAACTAACTTGTTTGGTATATGTGGAGTTTGAGGACAAAGTTAAGCAACTTGTTTAAATAACACTTCTAATGATCTCAGCCTTAGAAGTGTAGTCCTCATAACTTGACTTCAAAATTGATGCCTTTTGTGATTCAGGGTGGTATCCAAAAGTCTAATGCCAGATGTCTTCATCACCAAACATGGCATTGCCTACTGGCTCATGTGACTTTATTTGCACTGTCATGCCTTTATAGGCTTTGCATCAAGTTTTTAATCAGCGTTTGTTCTATTCTTTAGCATTTCTCATTAGATGCTTCCATCAATTTCTTGATAAATTTGGGTTTTCTACTCTGACCAGCATCATTTTATCTTTCTTAGGACAGTGTGATATTTGGGTGGGTATCTAATAATTCATAATTAGATGGATATTAATGAAAATGACTTTTACAATCTACACATGTATTTAAATGCTGCATGTTTACTTTATAGCTATATCTTAGAAAAAAATAAAATAATTAAACCAGAAAATAATATATCCTTGGTATGTGTTAGTTTTTAAGGTTTCAGATCTTGTCTATTTTTTACATAGGTTCTGAAATTGAGTTTAAATGAATAATAATGCAGATTCATAGGGCTCTTCTTTTCTAAGAGACAAACTGTTCTTTTTTCTTTTTTTTTTAGATTATTTTTAACGACTAGCTTTTGTCTCTACATTTTTAAAGACTACAGAAATTCTTCAGGTTTTTGAGTAAATTTTGATCACTGCATGTGCTCTATAGAGCAAGTTTAACAAAAGAGACAAAAATAATATCAGACTTTCCTTATTGGTTTTTTCCTTTTCACCTTGTAAAAGAAATCCTATATGCTTGTGATAAATCATGCATAGAGCTCATGCCCAGATCTGTTAGACCAAACACAATACTTACTCAGTTAATTGTGAGTTGATGAACTTGTATGGGCTAGAACAAAAAGGACAGAGTGTTCAAAAACCTTGAATTTGATTCCTGTATTTTTAACCCAGAATTTTAATCTATTTTAAGCTATTCAATTTGTATGGAACTTCAAATAATTTTCAGTAATGAGAATAGAGATAAAACAGCACAAGTGGTCAATTTATGTATTAGAAAAGATATTTCCAAGAAGCTCCTGATGAAAATGTTTCACCATATAATTAAAATTTCTTATCTTTCAGCAACTGAAAGCAACAGCTGCATAAAAAGAGTTTGGAGTCTTCTGTCAAACAACTATTGTTGTTTAAAATACTGTACATGTTAAATCTGAAGAAATGTGCCACTTGAATATTCCAAACTAAGAATATACATGGTACTGATCTCATTTCCATTGCAAATTTCAATCTGCATAGAATGAAAAGGCAGCGATTATTTGGAGGCTGATGGGCTTCTCCTTAGATACTTCCTTTGAGTTTAGTTGCCTAATTAGATTTTGTTCAATAATAAGTAAGTAGATATCCTGAGGGATGCAGAGTCATGGGTCTGTACATCAGCAATTGAAAGGGTAGCACATCTTTAAGTCAGTCAACTAGGGAAAAATATGAGTTAGAACTAGAAGTTTAGGAAGCTGGACTTGTTAAGCTAAAGGCTACATAAATTTCGCCCTTTCTTCCTTCCTTCCCTCCCTCCCTCTTTCTCTTTTGAGACAGGGTCTCACTCTGTCACCCAGGCTGGAGTGCAGTGGCGTGAATACAGCTTACTGCAGGCTTGACCTCCCGGGCACAAGCTATTCTCCCACCTCAGCCTCCCAAGTAGCTAAGAACACAAGCACGCACCACTACATCCAGCTAATTTTTAAATATTTTGTACAGACGAGGTCTTGCCATGTTGCCCAAGTTGGTCTCAAACTGCTGGGCTCAAGCAATCCTCCTGCCTTGGCTTCTCAAAGTGGTGGGATTATAGGCATGAGCCACCACACCTGGCCCTCATAAATTTTAAAAGCTAGATAAAGTCTACTTGCATTGGTTTAGACTACATTATTTTAACTGTAAAAGGTTATGTCTGGGAGGCACCAACGAAGGAGAAAATAATGAGCTATCAAGCACAGTTTGCATCAGCCAGCTGCTCTTGCGAGTGCATTACATGCAGCATCTCATTTAATCCTCATAACAACTTCGTGAGAAAGGTACTGTTGTTATTTTCATCTTTTTTTTTTTTTTTTTCTGAGAAAATGAAGATATTTGAAGGGCAAATAACTTTTCCAAGGTAATTAGTGGAGCCAGATGTTGAATTCAAATTGGACTACACGGTATTTTCTGTTAAACGACTCTGATACAGCCTCATTTTAGGAAATTTCTTAAGATCCCACAGTTCCTTGTAGGGGAGCTGGGGCTTGCATCCAAGTCTCTAGCTAGCTAAGTCGAAGGAAGTAAAATCAAAGATTTACTGAGAAGTGTTTTTTTTAAGATGGTCACATAATATTTAAATGGATCAGAGTAGGGCCAGAGTTCACTCCTGTTTGTGGAGGTGGGCAGGCTGCCAGCCCCTCAATGATCAATTCCTTTGATGGAAATGCTAACAAAATGTCCTTATTACAGACTCAGGAGCGCAGCCAATAGAATGTAATGCACCCATGTTACCTCTAGGTGGTGCCCTCTGCCTTCAAGAAAGGTTGCAGCCGCCCACAGGTACACACTCAAACCTAGAGCTGGCCCCTTGACCACTTTTCATCCTTTTACCTTTTCCTGTCTCACTTCATCTCTGTGGTACCCTTCTTCCTTTCTTCCTTCTAACAAAATAAGATTCTAATAATAATAATAAAACTAGTTGACATAAGTGTTTATGGTTAAGTGCTTATATATTTTTTTATCAAGTGTTTGATTCTCACAGTAATCATTCGAGAGTTCTATCCCAACTATTTTAAAATAAGAAAAAAAAAAAAAATCCGGAGTGCTAAACAGCCTACAAGCCTGCAGTGACAGAAGCAGGGTTTGAACTCAAGCTTTCTGAAACAAAAGCCAGTTTACTTGCCATACTCCTTTTGGGTAGGATGACCATATCCTGTTTTGCCTGGAATAGTCATTGTTTATGCCTGTTGCCTTGACATAAATATTAGTGTTCCTTTTAGTTTCAGAGTGCCTCAGTTTTCCTAATAAAATTACTTTAGTGACACTAAGTAAATCAGTTATAAATTTCCCTCATCTAGGTGTATAAAATTTTAAGCCTTTACCACTAGTTTGGTGAATGCTTCTTTGAAGAAATCCCAGGCACCTGTGAATAGGTGAGAGATTCTTGTTTTTCTGAATGTCTGTGAATATTTCCATGATCTATGAAGTCAGAGTTGGAGAAACTGGAATCTTTTGCACTTCTCGAGATCCAGCTGGGCTCCCATCTGCTTCATACTGTTTTAATCTGAGTGCACCTGAGCTACTTGTGTGAGTCAAGAGTTTAGCTTTTCCAGTCACAAAACCCCCTTTAAAATACTGTTTAAACCAACAATTAAACTTAATTGTTCACATAACTACAAGGATCAAATAAAGTGATCTTGTTTGGTCACAGCTGGCACCAGAGCCTAGATCTCTCTCTGTCTTTCTCTCTGATGCTCTGTCTCTTTGTCTCTCTCAGTCTCTGTTTCTTTCAATTTCCATCTCCTGCCTGTGCTTTTTCCTGTATGACCTTCTTTTCTCAGATAGTAAACTTCACTGCATGAATGATGAAAGTCACCAGCAGCTCCAGGACTGCACTTGCCCCTTGGCACCAGCCTAAAGATCTGGTCTTGATTTTCACTAGGGTTACATGCATTTTCCTGAACCAATCATTATAGTTAAACATGTAGAATCTTCTGCCTAGCTGGAGGTGGCATCATGTGCCCATCCCCGAAGCTCTATAGTAGATTTGTTGCAGCCAAAGACCATGGATAGAGGATTGCAGGGGAGTCCTTCTTTAAAAAAAGACAAGAATGAAGAATGGGCAATGGATAATAGCAAAACAACACCATGAAACAAAACAAGTACAAGTTGTTAACTATTCTGCTGCATGCTTAATTGAAAAAAAAATGACATGAAACAGAGGTTGTATAATTAGAGGGAAGTTATTTTTGTATGAGTGATATGAATAAATTCCCATCGTGGCCAATTCTACTCTAAAAGGGAAACTGAAGGACCTTAGTACTTTCTCAAATTTATTGGGTACTACTTCAGGCCTCTTGTTTTAAAATTGAGTTCGTGCATGTGGATCATATTGCTGCTAAAACAAATTGCTACGAGATAGCTTAAAACAACACAAACCTATTACCTTACTGTTTTGGAGGTCATAAATCCTAAATCAGTTTTATGGGGTTAAAATCAAGTGTCATCAGGGCTGTGCTCCTTCCGAAGGCTCAGGATAATCTGTTTCCTTCCCATTTCACCTTCCAGACATTGCCTGAATTCTTCAGATCATGGCCTCTCCCTTAACCTTGAAGTGCATCACTCCAACCTCTGCTTCCATCCTCACATCTTTTCTGACTTTGACCTGCTTGCCTTCCCTTATAAGGACTGTTATAATTGCATTGAGCCTATCTGGATTACCTGGATAATCTAGGATAATCTCCTTATCTCATGATCCCCCATTTAATCATATCTTCAAAGTCTGTTTTGCTACGTAAGGTAATATAGTCACAGGTTTTAGGATATGGGTATCGTTGTGGGATTCATTATTCTGTCTACTACAGCAGGTGTTTCTGAATTTGGTCAGGCTTGACTTTCTTACTTAGAATTGTTTCAATCATCACTCTAGCTCTAAACACTGAAGCTTTAGTAAAGAAATACTCTGGCACTATCCATACTAAGCAGATCTGCCATTTGGACAGGATCAATGGAGGATAATGCATAACTGAAAGCTCCTTAAATACGGATACTTTGACCTATAGAGTTCAGCTTCCTGTCTTAGCCTGCACCCTGCCCTACTAGCTCCTTTCACTTTCCATCTTCCATGGCAGGTAAATAGTAAATACAGATTGAGCTGAAAGGTGCCTTAGTGTCTAGAAAACTCTGTCTATACAAAAAAGTTTGAGAGAAGAGTTTCTTATCCTAGAAGCAATGTTAGATTTTAATGACACGCATGGTAATATATTGACTCATGTAACTTGGACAGACAGAGGTTGTGTAGTCCTCCATCACCATCAGCTATAGGACTCAAAAAGTCACGCTCTCTCTCTGTCTCTTTATTTGTATGTCTGTCTCATCTATACCTATAAACCTGTGGGGAGTAAAGAATTTGGCTGGCCCCACCTGTATAGTGTTAGGGTAGGAACTGACCATGCCAGAAGGAGCAACAATGTGACTTAGTGTGGGGGCTTTGGGTCGTGTTGTATCAGTCTAGATGCAGACTGAAATCAGCCCCACGGGAGATTAATCATGCTTACATAATGGAGCCTCAGTGAAACTCTGAATACTGAAGTTCAGGTGAGCTTCTCTGGTTGGCAGTACCCTCTGCATAATTGTCACACATCAATGCCAAGAGAGTAATGCATCCTGATTCCATGGCGAAAGGGCAACAGAAGTTCTGCATTTGGAAACTTCCTAGACTCTGCCATGTACACTCTTTCCCTTGGATAATTTTTACGTGTATCTTTTCCTTGTAATAAACTGTAATCATGAGAATTAGAGCTTTCAGTGAGTTCTGTGAGTCTGTCTAGCTAATTATAAAACACGAGAATGGTTTTGGAAATGGTTCAAACTTGCAGTTGGTGCCAGAAGTGAAGGTAGTCTTCTAGAGGTTTGTATGTCTTCTAACTTGGTAGTTCAGACTTCTATTCTGTTACATATGGGTAGGCAGTCCAGACCCAGTGGCTCACGTCTGTAATCCCAGTTCTTTGGGAGGCCGAGGTGGGCGGATCACTTGAGGTTAGGAGTTTGAGACAGCCTGGCCAACATGGTGAAACACTGTCTTTACTGAAAATACAAAAAAAATTAGCTGGGTGTGGTGGTACGTGCCTGTAATCCCAGCTACTCTGGAGGCTGAGGCAGGAGAATCGCTTGAACCCTGGAGGTGGAAGTTGCAGTGAGCCAAGATCATGCCTCTGCACTCCAGCCTGGGAGGAAAGAGCAAGATTTGTCCTCAAACAAACAAACAAACAGACAAACCTGGATGACAGAGCAAGACCCCACCTCAAGCAAACAAACAAACAAAAACAAGTAGGTAGGCTATTCCTATACAAGGCATGCGAAAGAAAAGAAATGGATACAGGCAGCTCCAGGCTTGTATTATTACAGTTCATCAGTCTTAAAGGAGGGAGGTGTCTTTCTCAGATTCAGTACATAAAAATGTGGGGCAAACGTTTGAATAGTCTGGCTTCAGACATAAGTGCAAACTCTGAAACAATTATCATAGCTAGTGAGTGTAATAAAATAATTAAGACCCTTGGCAGAATAACATTAACATGGATGGGGAGGAGAAACAAGTCTTCCAAAGGAAGGAGTGAGTGTGTAGGGGAGGGTGGGGGTAGGGAGCATTAGAATGTTTTTGAAATTGCTCTGAAGGAAAAAAAATGTTTTGTCCAAAATGACATTGTGTCCCATTTAAAAGAAGAAAAACAAAAATAAACTAAGAGTGCTCTAGAAATGTTTAAATCTTATTTTGAAGATTAACTCAAGTTTTTATTCTATGTGCTTTTGTAAGAGGCTTAAAAGTGAACAATTCATTTTTGAATTCTCACCAAGCCAAAAAATGACATGATTGTTTATGATTAAATACAAGTATATTGACGGAAAATGTGGAATTTTCTTATGCAGAGAATTAGATGAAATGAGACTACATCTGAGAACAAGGTGAAATCATAAGAACAGGATAATTTGATTACTGCATTGAAACTTGATTGAATATTTCACTGTAGAGACCTGATAAAAAAAGTTGAAAAAAATGCTGAAGAGCACAATACATTAAGTGAAGCCATATGTCATGATGAAAATTCAAGGAGATTATTATTTTTAGAGAAAATGATAATCTCAAATTGTTAGTTTATTTTGAGGGAAATATATTTATTATTTAAAATCACCTTTATAGTATGTAGGGCCATTTCCCTATGAAATTGGAAACAGTTATTTCCAGGTTCTTTACAGACATTTAGACATTAAGTGATTTTTTTTCTGAATTGTTTTTCTTGTTCTAAGTTTTTCCAAAGTAAGTTTCAGTCACAGAAATTAAGTTATTAATTTTTCTGTTGTATTCAAAATAGGGTTTTGTCCTCTAGAAATTGGTTTGATCAAGTGTTTTTGATTGCTTTTTGCTATAATTAAAATAAGTAGTAACATTTATAATTGAAAGAATAATATAATAGCTGATTTTTCTAAGTAAAGGTCTGTGAAACACTTCATATTCCTATATAAATACACATATATGTGTATTTATCTGTAAATGTGTTTCTACACAATTATAAATATAGAGTAAAAGTGAAGTTTGCTTTGTGTTATCTAAATGCCTAATTAATACCTTTGTTTTAAAATGAACCATTCCTTTATGCCAAAAACAGTCAACCTGAGATCCAAATCAGGAACACAATCCCATTCACAATTGTCACAAAAAAATAAAATACCTAGTAATACAACTAACCAAGAAGGTGAAAGATCTCTTCAAGGAGAACAAAAAAACACTGCTGAAAGAAATGAGAGATGACAAACAAATGGAAAAACATCCCATGCTCATGGATAGGCAGAATCAATATTGTTAAGATGGCCATACTGTCCAAAGCAATTTATAGATTCAATCCTATTCCTATTAAACTACCATTGACATTCTTCACAAAACTAGAAAAAAAACTATTTTAAAATTCATATGGAACCGAAAAAGAGCCTGAATAGCCAAGACAATCCTAAGCAAAAAGAGCAAAGCTGGAGGCATCACAAGGCTACAGAAACACTCAAAAAGCATGGTACTGTTTCAAAAGCAGATGCATAGACCAATGGAACAGAATAGAGAACCCAGAAATAAGGTTGCACACCTACAACCATCTGATCTTTTACAAACCTGACAAAAACAAGTAATGGGGAAAGGATTCCTTATTCAACAAGTGGTGCTTGGATAACTGGCTAGCGATGTGCAGAAGATTGAAATGACCCTTTCCTTATACAATATACAAAAATCTATTCAAGATGGATTAAAGACTTAAATGTAAAACTCTAAACTATAAAACCCCTGAAAGACAACCTAGGTAATACCATTCTAGACATAGTAATGAGAAAAGATTTCATGATGAAGATTACAAAAGCAATTGCAATGAAGTAAAAATTGACAGATGAGACCTAATTAAACTAAAGAGCTTCTGCACAGCAAAGGAAACTATCAACAGATTGAACAGAAAACCTACAGAATAGGAGAAAATTTTTGCAAACTATGCATCTGATAAAGTTCTAGTATCCAGTATCTATGATGAAAACTATAAAACACTGATGAAAGAAATAGAAAATTGAAGAGAACACCACAAATATAGAGAAATATTCTCTGTTCATGGATTGGAAGAATTAATATTGTTAAAGTGTCCATACTACCCAAAGTGATCTACAAATTCAAATCAATACCCATCAAAATACCAATGACTTTCTTCACAGTAATAGAAAAAATAATTCTAAAATTTGTGTGGAACCACAAAAAAACCAGAATAGCCAACGCTATCCTAAGGAAAAAGAACAAAACCAGAGGAATCATATTAACTGACTATTATACTAAAGAGCTATAGTAACTAAAACAGCATGGTACTGGTATAAAAACAGACACAAAGACCAATGGAACAGAATAGATTACCCAGAAACAAATCCACACACCTAGAGTGGACTCATTTTTGCCAAAGTTGCCAAGAGCATTTACTGGGGAAAAGACAGTTTCTTCATTAAATAGTGCTGAGAAAACTGGATATCCATATGCAGAAGAATAAAACTAGACCACTATCCCTTGCAATATACAAAAATCAAATCAAAATGGATTAAAGACTTATATCTAAGATATCTAACTGTGAAACTACTACAAGAAAACACTGGAGAACATCTCTAGCATATTTGTCTGGGTAAAAATTTCTCGAGGAGTACTCCCACCAGCATTGGAAACCAAGGCAAAAATGGACAAATGGCATAATATCAAGTTAAAAACCTTCTGCACAGCAAAGTATACAATTAATAAAGTGAAGAGACAACCCAAAGAATAAAAGAAAATATTTGCAAACTACCCACATGGCAAGGAATTAATGACCAGATTATATAAGGAGCTCAAACAACTCTACAGGAAAAAAAAAATCTAGTCATACAATAAACAAATGGGCAAAAAATTTGAGTAGACATCTCTCATAAGAAGACATACAATTGGTAAGCATGCGTATATGAAAAGGTGCTCAACATCACTGATCATCAGAGAAATGCAAATCAAAACTACAGTGAGATACCATCCCACCTCAGTTAAAATGACTTGTATCCTAAAACAGGCAATAACAAATACTGGTGAAAATGTGGACAAAAGAGAACCCTTGCACACTGTTCGTGGGAATGTAAATTAGCACAACCACTATGGAGAACAGTTTGGAGGTTCTTCAAAAACCTATAAATTGAGCTTCCGTATGTTCCAGCAATCCCACTGTTTGGTATATGCCCCGAAGAAAGGAAATCAGTATACCTAGGAGATATCTGTACTCCTATGTTTGTTTCAGCACTGTTTACAATAGCTAAGATTTGGAAGCAACCTAAATGTCTATCAACAGATGAAAGGATAAAGAAAATGTAGTACATATAAACAACGGAGAACTACACAGCCATAAAAGAGAATGAGATCCAGGCATTTGCAACAACATGGATGGAACTGGAGATTATTATGTTAAGTGAAATAAGCCAGGCACTGAAAAACAAACATCGCATGTTCTCACTTATTTGTGGGGTCTAAAAATCAAAATAATTGAACTGATGGACATAGGATAATTGCCAGACTGGGAAGGGTAGTGGGAGGGTGGGGAGTGGGGGAAGGGGGCTACTTAATTGGCACAAAAAATAGAAAAAAATTAATAAGACCTACTATTTGACACTGAAACAGGGTGACTATAGTCAATAGTTACTTACTTGTATATTGTAAAATAATTCATAGAGTGTAATAGGACTGACTGTAACTCGAAGGATAAATATTTGAGGGACTGGATACCCCATTATCCATGATGTGCTTATTTTACATTGCACGCCTGTATTAAAACATCTTATGTATCCCATAAATATATATACCTACTATGTACCCACAAAAATTAAAAATAAAGAATTAAGTATAAAAGGAAAATTAAGAATGAATATATATTTTAAATACAAGTCTTTTTAGGTAGAGAGTTCATATAATTTACTGTTTTAATCAGGGTACTATTACAGTCATCTGGGACACTGGCAACAGGTATACAGCAGGACTGTCCTGCGAAAACCAGGTTTGTGGTCACTCTAGTTTCGGGAGACAAATGAACTCTTTAAATAGTCTGTGGACACTTGTGGGTTTTTGTTGTTGTTGTTGTTGTTGTTTGCGTGGGCATTTAAGGATTGATGAAACAGACCCAGAGTTTTATACAACTTTTTAAATGGGTTTATTTCCAAAGGAATTTTAAGAACTTCTGGTCTGAGCCATTCTGTAATCAAGAAAGGGGAAAACATTGGAACACTCAGGAATTATGAATGAGTTAAGCAAAGAAGCAAAGCAAGTGATTAACTTATGAACACATGTATATATGAACATATAAATTATAGAGAATCTGCTCAATATTTTATTAGCTCTTTTTAGATATCCAATTTAACAGTCACTGAAATTTCACCAATTCAATTATGAATGGATTTTTATCACAAATAATGGCAAATAAAGCCTACCCTTCTTTTATCCACCAACACCTCATATAAATTCTAATGAATAGTTAACTACTATTAACCAATAAGAGTAGTTCAGATGATAGAGTCAAGAATTATTAGATAAGCTTGGTTCAAATTCTTTCTGTACTCTTTAATGATTTGAGAAACTTTAGGCAAGTTATCCTTTTATCCTAGGCCTCAGTTTCTACATCTATGAGATGAGAAAGCTATGCTGAGGACAATGATTGTAACTTTCTAAGTTCACTAAAATAGTACAACTTAACATTATTCTTATGAATGTACAAAATGTGCTGTTGCCATTCTGATTTCTGTAGGTCTTCTGAAAATAGAGACCATTTCTGTTAATCAAAAGTTGTTTTTTTTTTGACAGTTTCTTTTTTTTATTATTATACTTTAAGTTTTAGGGTACATGTGCACAAAGTGCAGGTTTGTTACATATGTATACATGTGCCATGTTGGTGTGCTGCACCCATTAACTTATCATTTAACATTAGGTATATCTCCTAATGCTATCCCTCCCCGCTCCCCCCACCCCAAAACAGGCCCCAGTGTGTGATGTTCCCCTTTCCTGTGTCCATGTGTTCTCATTGTTCACTTCCCACCTAGGAGTGAGAACATGCGGTGTTTGGTTTTTTGTCCTTGTGATAGTTTGCTGAGAATGATGGTTTCCAGCTCCATCCATGTCCCTACGAAGGACATGAACTCATCATTCTTTTATGTCTGCATAGTATTCCATGGTGTATATGTGCCACATTTTCTTAATCCAGTCCATCATTGTTGGACATTTGGGTTTGTTCCAAGTCTTTGCTATTGTGAATAGTGCCGCAATAAACATACGTGTGCATGTGTATTTATGGCAGCATGATTTATAATCCTTTGGGTATATACCCAGTAATGGGATGGCTGGGTCAAATGGTATTTCTAGTTCTAGATCCCTGAGGAATCGCCACATTGACTTCCACAATGGTTGAACTAGTTTACAGTCCCAGCAACAGTGTAAAAGTGTTCCTATTTCTCCACATCCTCTCCAGCACCTGTTGTTTCCTGACATTTTAATGGTCGCCATTCTAACTGGTGTGAGATGGTATCTCATTGTGGTTTTCATTTGCATTTCTCTGATGGCCAGTGATGATGAGCATTTTTTCACGTGTCCGCCATTCAGGACATAGGCATGGGCAAGGACTTCATGTCTAAAACACCAAAAGCAATGGCAACAAAAACCAAAATTGACAAACGGGATCTAATTAAACTAAAGAGCTTCTGCACAGCAAAAGAAACTACCATCAGAGTGAACAGGCAACCTACAGAATGGGAGAAAATTTTTGCAATCTACTCATTTGATAAAGGGCTAATATCCAGAATCTACAATGAACTCAAACAAATTTACAAGAAAAAAAAAAAAACCATCAACAAGTGGGTGAAGGATATGAACAGACACTTGTCAAAAGAAGACATTTATGTAATCAAAAGTTTTTAAGTTCATTGTCTAGTAACCATTCCCTTGCACAGTTAGCTGGGTCTCACATGCAGATAATGTATCACATTTTAGAACACAAATAAAATTTTAGAACGTGCAGTCAAATGGAGAGTTCTAATACCAATAACTACATGATAATGTAGACTGCCATTTAATTTATTTTCTGTGGCACTTTTTCTCCCAAGGTAAAAAATTCTATTAGTAATGCTTCCAAGTACTTGCTATTTCATTAATATTAGTCGTGGCAGCTATGTCCAGGTAATAATTTAAGCTATTAAAAAGGTAATATGTTGCTCCCTAGGAATTTATTAACATTATAATAACCTTAAAAGACTTGTAGATAACTTCGAGTCTGTTGAAATATTTATATATGCTAAGTTAGAGAAGGGATTGTAAATGAATTAATTCTTCCCTGTTCATGAAAGAAGCATAAGTTCATTGTATAAAACTTAAATCAGACAGATGACAAAAATAGAAATCTTCCCAATCCTATGGTTAGAGAAAGAAACATTATATATATATATATATATATATATATATATATATATATATATATATATACACACACACACACACACACACACACACACACACACACACACCAGGGCTTTATATATATAAATAAAATGGATATCTATATCTATATTTCTATATCTATATATAGAGATATCTATAGAGATATAGAGATATCTATAGAGATATCTATAGAGATATAGACATAGACATCCATTATGCAGGAGGTCAAAAGTTGTCCTAAATTGTCTTGCATGTCATTGGATGAAGTCAAGAAAGGGTAGGCTTAGTCTGAACAGAGAGCAAGCATTTCATGGTTTCCTAGAAGTTTTATATGATTCCAAACTTCCCAGTTCTACACCTATACCATACCCCTCTTGATACGATGTTCATACTTTGTCCATCCGACTCATATTGTTATAGTCAGAGTGCTGACAGCTGTCACTCTCATCTAGAGGTCTCTGATCCTTGCTTGTAGTAATGCATTACTGTACTTTATGACCTCTGGCACCACCCATAAACTCTAAAGTTCTAAACTAGGCATCTTAAGGACTTCATGCTAAATGCTAAATATAATTCATCTGCATATTATTTGAGGAAAAATGAAGTCTTCACCTTCCCCATCGTCCTCAGCCTGATTATAGAGATGCTATAACTGATTTCACCTTATTATGCCTACTTTTTAATAAAGGAATTACAGTTAATTAGCTGGGATATCAAACAACAAATCAAAGTCTTCATTTTGCCTTGATATTGTAATGAGCACTGAATAAGGGAGGAAAAGTTTGGAATCTTCATGCCCCTTTAATTAAACTCCTTATTGTCTTTTATTATTAGACCTCTACATGAATATTGATAGTACAATTAAGTTCTTGCCTTCATACCAAGCACTGTTAATGCATTTTCCAAAATCAATAATCAAATTAGTAAGGAATGTAGGAGAACAATTTATGTTTAAAATATCAGACCAATATGCAACTAAAACAACATCAGACAATAGTGTGAGGTGGATCCAAGTTTAAAACACATTAAAATACCATTAAACTAGCATGGGCTTATCAGGAAAGCTTTTATAAATCAGTCTTTCTGTGGCAGACCTATGACCATGACAAATTACTAGATCATAAACTTTCCATAACTGCATACTATCTGATCAAGACCAACAGCATAAATTCTAAGTCAAAGCTCAAATCATTTGGTTTCAATAAATCTCATTTTCCATCACTTATATAACATTTTTGATAGTCCATCACAACTGTACTAATGGCTCATAGAAGTTATTCAATAATATATTTGGTGTATAAAAAGCTTAGGAAAAAGTAAATTGCAAAAATAAAATTAGATTATGAACATATCTCTGGGATTGTCATTACAAAGCTTAAGAACTATAGCATCTGCTGTATTAGCCCATTTTTGCACTGCTATAAAGAACTCTGTCCAGAATTTATTCCATCCAGTGGGTTCTTGGTCTCGCTGACTTCAAGAATGAAGTCATGGACCTTCAAGGTGTTACAGCTCTTAAAGATGGCATGTCCAGAGTTTCTTCCTTCAGATGTGTCCAGAGTTTCTTCCTTCAGATGTGTCCAGAGTTTCTTCCTTCTGGTGGGTTCATGGTTGTGCTGACTTCAAGAATGAAGCCGTGGACCTTCATGGCGAGTATTATATCTCTTAAAGGTGGTGCAGACCCAAAGAGTGAGCAGCAGCAAGATTTATTGTGAAAAGCAAAACAACAAAGCTTCCACAGCATGGAAGGGGACCTGAGTGGGTTGCCGCTGCTGGCTGGGGGTGGCCAGCTTTTATTCCCTTATTTGTCCCTGCCCACAACCTGCTGACTGGTCAATTTTACAGAGTGCTGATTGGTCCATTTTATGGAGTGCTGATTGGTGCATTTACAATCCTTTAGCTAGACACAGAGTGCTGATTGGTGCATTTACAATCCTTTAGCTAGACACAGAGCACCGATTGATGTGTTTACAATCCTTTAGCTAGACAGAAAAGTTCTCTAAGTCCCCACTGGACCCAGGAAGTCCAGCTGGCTTCACCTCTAAGAACTACCTGAGACTGGGTAATTTATAAAGAAAAGAGGTTTAATTGGCTCGTGGTTCAGGAGGTTGTACAGGAAGCATTACTGGAGAGGCCAGAAAGCGTACAATTATGAAGGAAGGTGAAGGGAAAGCAAGCACATCCTAAATTGCTGGGGCAGGAGGAAGAGAAAGAAGGGAAGGTTCTACACACATTTAAACAACTAGATCTCATGAGAACTCACTCACTATTATGAGAACAGCAAGCAGGGAAATCTGCCTCCTTGATCCAATCATTGTCCACCAGACCCCTCCTCTAACACTGGGGATTACCATTTGACATGCGATTTGGGAGGGGACACAAATCCAAACCATATCATCTTCCAAAGCTTAATATCTCAGTAGTTTGATATGTCATATTCTGAAAATAAACGTAAAGTAGGCCTGCCATTTATTTACAGATCAGGCATCTCTTTTCAGGTATAATGCATTTTTTGTTTCATATCAATTTTAAGGGGGTATTTTAACACCTTCAAAGTAGATTACATTTGCTGTACCTTTTCATTTATTGATTGATTTTTAAATTTATTTTTATTGATATGTAATATTTGTACATTTTCGTGGGATACATGTGACATTTTGTTACATGCATAGAATATGTAATGATCAAATCAGAGTATTTAGAATATCCATCACCTCAAGCATTCATTATTTCCATGTGTTGGGAACATTTCAAATCCTCTCTTCCAGCTATTTTGAAATATACAATATATTGTTGTTGACTATAGTCACTCTACTCTTCTATCAAACAACAGAATGTATTCCTTCTATCTAATTGTATGTTTGTACTCATTAACCCACCTGTCTTCATCACCTCCCCCAACACCCCTCTCAATCTCTGGTTTCTATCATTCTACTCTCTACCTCCCTGAGATCAGCTTCTACACATGAGTGAGAACATGTGATAGATATTTGTCTTTCTGACCTGCTCCTTTTCATACTTCCCTTTTATAGCATTTATCAATATACTTATCAATATACTTAGTTTTTCTGCTTCTATATTCCCTCATGGATGGTAAGAATCAATAGGGCAGATAAAAAAGCATGCCTTATTCTATACTGCACCCACAATGCCTAGCGTAGAGTGTATGATGCACAGCAACTTCTCAGAGAACTATTGAATAGAAATTGATATTGTACTGCTTTTTTGTCATGTTCATCAAAATTTCCAGAAAGATGCTTAAAGCTCAACCTAAGGCTGAAGTCATGAGCTGTCAGTCTTCCCCTGATTGCCTAACTCCCCAGTGCAGTTCTCCTCCTATATTCCCCACCTATGTAAATGGTGGCACCATCTATCCCAGAACCTGGGAATCATTCTTAACTCCTTTACCCTTTTCTCCCAAGCTTACCTTACTTCCTAAGTGCATTGAGACACCTTCTATGTCTCTTCTCATCTTGTCAACGGGATAGTCTTTTGACTGAACATTTTTTTTTTTTTGACTGGACTTTTTACTGTTTTTTTTTCCTTCCTCTCTCTCCTATCTTAGCCAGATTAATTGTTTTAATAAAATGTAAATATAATAATTTTACCGCCTTGTTTAAAAATATATTTTATGGCTTCCTATCTGCTAAGATTTAAGCCCACACTCCTAAATGTGGCTTATAAATTCCTTTTTAATCTAGTTTCTGTTTTTCTTTAGCCTAACTCCTTACCAAACCTCTTCTACTCTCATTCTCGTCAGACTGAAATAGCATGCCATAATCATTCGGACTTTGGAGACTTTGAATACTTTGCATACCCTTTTCCCTTTACCTTTTCCCTTGTCTATCCATTAGTTAATATCACTTCTTTTACAGAGCTTTACTCACCCTACAGGTTGAGGTCAGGTGCTCTTTTTGTATGTATTTAATCTCTATTTCAATCCAACATTTTATTTTAGTAGTCACTTGTTTGAGTCTCGCACTGTATTGTAAAATTTTTAGAGTGGAGGCTGTATCTATTTTATTTATTGTTTTATGGCTAAAGTATGACACATACTAGGCACCTAAATATTTGAATTAATGAACAGATAAAGAATTGTTAGGGGAAGTACTGAATAATATTAAGCAAGAGGGTAACAAAATCAGATTTAGAATAATTATAAAAGCATAAGCTCTGGAGACAGTCAGGGCTGTATTCAAATCCCATGTTTACTTCTTACTCCTATATCAACTTCTACAAATTAATTAATTTTCAAAACTGCAGTTTTCTGGAGTTAAAAATTATTAATAATGACATTAATAATGAGAGGCATTTTGTTTGGGTTCTAAGGCATTACGAACACTCATTTTTAATAAGCTGAAACTAAATGATACACAGCCATGGCAATCAGACATATGGAGATCAAAATATCACACTTATTGTTGATAAGGATGAGACTGAAAAATAAAAGTCAGCATGTGAGCCAAGATTATTTTATATTTCTGAATTAAGTTTCCCACCCAACTATAAGCAGCATTGGCAAAACCTATACAAATGTGGCACAGAAAATAAGAAAGAATACTCTGCAAGCAGGCAGGCTGTCTGATCCGAAAAGAAAGGGAGAGGGTGAGTCTAACAGGTTCGCTCCTTCTGCCAAACTTTCCAATCAGAGGAGCTGTTTTTACTCTACAAGAAGTGAGTAAAGTGATGTAGACAGGCCAGGGATGTCCCTCTAGGCATTGGTGCTCACATTTGGCAATGTGTAGAGATATGTTCAGGTGCGACAACTGGATGGGGGTACAACTAGGATCTAGTTGGTGGAGCCTAGGAATGTTGGTAAACATCTTACAGAACAGTACCCTAAAATGACAATAATGCCAACGTCAAGAACGTTGCTCTAGTGGAAGTTTTCTTGTCTCAAATTATATCACATTTGATATTATTATATTTTAGTTAGTATTTGTCTAGTACTTTATGATTTTTGGGGATATATATTATTATACCCTCATATTACAAAATATTCCCTCATATTATTTCGGAGTATATCTAAATTATTTTTTCGAACTTTAAATATTAACTTGGGAATTTATTTTGTTTTTATTTATCGTAATCATAATCTTGGTTTCATTGTTACAACCTTTAATTATCCTATGCTTTGTATGACTTATCTTTTTGTGATTTATTTACCCTTTGTGAAGTGTATAATTTTCTTAATCCGGGTTTTTTCATCTTTTGGCTTGTAGGTTCTATACACTATTGATAATATTTTAGTGTTTACATAAGAATGTTTACTATTGTATTACTCTGCTCATGCTGCAATAACAAAATAACACAGGCTGAGTGGCTTAAACAATAGAAATTTATTGTCTCACAGTGCAGGAGGCTGGGAAGTCCACAATTGAGATGTTAGTAGAGTTGTTTCTGTGTGTGTATGTATGTGTGTCATACAAAGTACATTTTAACTCAAAATTGTTACACTGGCTAAAGAACATTATATAGTGATATAAAAGTCAATTTATCATGAAGCTATAACAATTATAAATATTGTATTTTATGCTTCTATGAGTTTGACTATTATAGATACCTCATATAAGTGGAATAAGTGCTGATGGTATTAATATCACAGGTGTAAGCCTATGTATAATTCATCAAATTTTATACATTCATTTGGGCCGTTCCTCATATATTAATTATACCTCAATAAAACTGTTAAAAACAGGAAATGGAAGGGAAAAGTCTAGGGCACAGCAGAAAACTTGACACATCATAACCCATTTGTTTTATTCCAGAAGGGAGAGAATATGTACATTGCTGGGAAACCAACAAGATTTTCCATATCTCTCCTTGCCCAGGTCCATGGACATAGCTTAGGAACAATAGGCTAGAGCTGGGTAGAAGGAGTGTTTGGTCAGGATGCTAGCTCACTTTATGACTGTTGTCCTGCTGCCGGTGAATAAAGCTTTGTCCTTTTTCTACTGTTTTCTGATGGTTCTACTCTGGGACTCTAGAAATAGCAAATAAAAAGTCTTTGTGTTTGTATTGAAATCAATTTCTTTATAGTTCCATCAGTTCTCTACTATTGGTTAAAAATGGAAACTAGTATTTTGAAATTTTAATTTTAATCTTGATAAAGCTTTCATTTTCCTGAAGTATACAAGATTGTAAAAATAATACATTAAATATATCAAGTTCATTTTCAGTTATCTGACATTTGAATTTTAATGTATCAAGTTTCTGTGAAAGCAAGAGCCTTTTTACCCATAGACAGCTATGTTTGATTCAAATAGACAGCAGTACTAAGAGGTATTGCTTTCTGATGACTGGTGGCTGCTTAGAATGCTGTAAGTCTTTATTTTAGTTCCATTCCTCAAAGAACAGTTATTACTGCAAAAAAAAAAAAAAGTGGGCAAATAATTTTGCCATTTCAGGAAAAAAGCCATATTGTAAATGACTCTAGGAAAAGGTCATGGATCCAAAAGGCTTAACTTAAGGATGCATAATAATAGAGAACCAGTAGAGCACTTGAAATCAGGAGACCACCTGGCCAACATGGTGAAACCCTGTCTCTACTAAAAATACAAAAAATTTGCCAGGCGTGGTGGCACGTGCCTGTAATCCCAACTACTGGGGAGGCTGAGGCACAAGAATCGCCTGAACTCGGAAGGTGGAGGTTGCAGTGAGCCGAGATTGCGCCACTGCATTCCAGCCTGGGCGACAGAGCGAGACTCTGTCTCAAAAAAAAAAAAAAAGAAAAGAAAAAGAATAAAAGAGATCAGGAGATGTGGTTTGCTATTAAATTATGTGACTAATTAGCAATGTAGCTTAATTTCCAGTTCTGATCCAATGTGGCTTCTGTAGTAGCGGAATCGAATACCCCTGCCAGCACTGGGGTTCCATGATTAGGGCATGAGGCATTTGCATCTGTTATTTAGATCATAATTTAAAACATATCCTTGATAATCAACCCCTCTTGGAGCTTTGCTAAAACATTGGTTCCCAGTATCCATCCTTAAAGAGTCTGATTCTTTCAGTCAGAAAGGGGGCCTTGGAATCTGTGTTTAAAAATAAAATCCCCAGAGATTAACCAGGTAATATACCATACTAATTCAAACTAAAATAAAATGGGTAAACACTGGAGCAACTAATTAATTCTGTGTCTCAGAGAGCTTTAAAGTTATTTATTTTTAATTTTAAAGTTAAAGTTGAGAGTTATAGAAAACGTAGAAAATACAATAATGAAAAAAAATCTAAAAATCATTTATGACACCACTGCCTAAAGGTAACATGTATTGATATTGCTCGCATGTTTATTTTTAGCCTTTTTTGGGGTAAATGTGTGTTTGCAGGTGCATGCACAAATACACATATATGCACACATCTGTATAAACACATATATGTATATATATATACACATGTGCAGTCATTTTAAATGTAAAAATTATCCATCCAGCGGTGTTTATGTCACATTAAAAAAATTTAAATATAATAATGCATTACTTAATGATGGGAATATATTCTGAGACGTGTTTTTTAGGTGATTTTGTCATTGTATAAACATGGTGGAAGGTACTTATACAAATCTAGATGGTATAGCCTAGCGTACACCTAGGCTCTGTGATAGAGCTTATTGCTCCCAGGCTGCAAGCCTTTACAGCATGTTACTATCTTGAATGCTGTAGACAATTGTAACACAGTGGTAAGTATTTGTGTATCTAAACATATCTAAACATAGAAAAGGTAGAATAAAAATATGGTATAAAAGATTAAAAAATGGTACCCATGTATGGGGCACCTACCATGAATGGAGCTTGCAGGAATAAAAGTTGCTCTGGGTGAGTCAGTGAGTATGTGGCAAGTGAATGTGAAGGCCTAGAACATTACTGTATACTATAGTAGACTTTATAAATATTGTACAGTTAGGCTACACACAATTTATAAAAAATATTTTTCATTCTTCACTAATAAATTAACTTTACCTTACTGTAACTTTTTTATTTCACAAACTTTTAAATTTTTTTAACTTTTTAATAATAATACTTAGATTAAAACACAAACATATTGTACAGCTGTACCAAAATTTTTTTTTTACATCCTTGTTCTGTAAACTTTTTCCTATTTATACATTTTTAAATTTTTTTGAACTTGTAAAATTTCTCTTAAAAACTAAGACAAAAACACACACATTGGCCTAGGCCTACAGAGGGTCAGGATGATCAATGTCACTGTCATCCACCTCCACATCTTGTCCCACTGGCAGGTCTTCAGGGGCAACAGCATGCACGGGGCTGTCATCTCTTATGATAACAATGCTTTCTTCTGGAATATCTCCCAAAGGACCTGTCTAAGGCTGGGTTACAGTTAATTTTTTTAAAAAAATAAGGAGTACATTTTAAAATAATAATTAAAATATAGTGTAGTAAATACATAAACCAGTGACAAAGTCCTTTATCATCAAGCATTATGTACTGTACATAATTGCATGTGCTACATTTTTATATGACTGGCAGCACAGTAGGTTTGTTTACACTGGCATCACCGTAACATGTGAGAAGTGTCCTGCGGACTTTATGATGACTACAACATCACTAAGCAATAGGAATTTTTTAGCTCCATTATAGTCTTATGGAACCAGTGTTGTACATGCTGTCTGCTGTTGAGTAAAATGTTATTATACAGTATATGACTGCATTTTTTACTTAAATTCAAATATCATTAGTATTTCCCATAATTAGAAATTCTTTAAAAATACAATTTTATTATTTGTTTTTTTGTATGTGAAAAGTGTAAACTGGTAATTTGTATAATTAATTTCTAATATTTCACAATTACAAACAAAAGACTGAAAAAATCTTGTATATAAATGCTAGTTCCTAAATTTTATTACTTTGTCATTACTTTTAATAGCAAAAACCACAATACCTTTTGCACTAACCTAATACTACATCTTCAGTGTAGAGCCTGTAATATTACTGTAATGACATCAGGCTGCCTGGTGTCTTTTATCTTTGTGGTGTTTTAAATGGTTGACTGGAATCAGTATCAGGGATGGCTAAGCTTTGGCAAATACTAATTTCCAAGAGTCTCTGACAGTGTTTTCCTGAGAAGGAATTCTGTTCAAACAACTCTGGGAGTATTTTTGGTTTATTGAGGTAGGTAGTTCATATGAATTAATTTTAGATATAATTAAAAATGATTTTTAAAAGTCTAATTGAAGAGCCTGAGTCTGTGTTTCTGAAATAAGTTTTCAAGCCTTACTATTTATCTCTGTTATGAATTATGTGAAATTTTTATTTTTTTCTTAATATTTACCTATATTCACTTTAAATTCTCAACTGCTATTTTTATTTTTTAGTTGATATGTCTAACAACATTGGGGGCTTATGATTAAATTGGTGGCTCTCTGTAAGAAGAGAAGGATGATTCATTCAACCTATCTCAGAACTTGCTTCCTCCTGGAAGTCTCTCTCTTTGTCTCTCTGTTTCTCTGTGTTTTTTCTTCCTTCACACACAGACACACATATTATGCATGAAGTCACAAATGTACACACACACAAACACATATAGTGTGTCCAATATATTAAAAACTTGAAATGGTTGGGGACAACTAAGCCATTGAACTGAAAACTAATGTCTGTTAGTCCTATCTTATTGCAACAGACCTATGGTTGGAACAATTAACTAAAGCAATCCTGGCATTAAAATGAGAATAAGTAGGCACAATATAAAGTAGACTCAAAATGGTGACTCAAAACCACTTTAAGTGGATAACTCTTACAGGCACTGACTAAAAAAGATAAGTTGTTTTAATTAGAAAACTGAACTAACTGGTTGGAAGAAAGTAAGATTAAAAAAACAGAGAAATGAAATCAATGATCATCTGTTATGAAAAATAGCAGATTAAAGATGGCCCTACTTTTTTCCTGAGTAAAGGTTTCAGGCTTATTCTGGGCTGAGCACTTGCCTACACTGACGTACTGGACTGATATTAGCAGAGAAGAGAGTGTGTTGGATGGGTCATCCATTTGCAACCTTGTTGAATTATAACTGTGGCTAGGCTCAATTCATTGAATGCTGAAAATCCCAGTGATGAAATTTTGGAACCAGAGGGCTTTCATTATTCTTCAACTCAGCTTGTCAGACAGCCCTGCTGACAATTAAATCATTTGCCACAAGGCAGCTTTGTTATTTGCCTCTGAGTTCATTCTTTTCTTTAACTATCTTCTCTGACAACCTATTTGACGGAGAAAGGAATGAAATGTCTTTTAGTTTGTGATTTTAATTAATTCTTCCACTGTGCTGTTGGTGGTCAATGTAGTATAATTCAAGGTTTAATTTTTAAATAATAAACTTATAGATCTGGAAAGCTTTCTCATTTCGAGAGTTTAAGCAAGAGTTCATACAATTTAGGTGACTTACCTAAGGGCAAACAGCTAATCTGCATCAGAGTGGGAATCCAAAACCTGAGTCTCTTTACCCCTAATCTAGTGTCATTCTGTCCTACATATGGCATTTCTTTAATGTCTCTGCTGAGAAGAACATGGCAGGTGTAGCCGCAATTCATAAGATCAGTTACAACCATCAGATAGTAATGACAGCCAGTGGTTGCTGACCTGGTCTGATTGTAAATAAGCGACTCCAGCAATAAAAACACAAAACCCTGATATCTCATTTCTAACAACCTATCAAAAAGAACTTGAAGTAGCTTTTCTATTAGTAGTAGACCACATTTTATAAATATATTACCACACGTATTTTTTTCTAAACGTCTCAGAAGATATATAATTAAGTTACGAAATTGCTATGGTTTGAAGTGCCCCCCAAAGTCCATGTGTTGGAAACTTAATCCCCAATCAAAAAAGTTGAGACATGGGAGTTTTAAGAGGTGATTAGGTCAACAGGGCTCTGTGTTCATGAATGGATCAAGGACATTCATATGGAATTGGGTTCTCATAAACAGATGAGTTTGGTTTCCTTCCTTCTCTCTTGCATTCCTCCTCTCTTGCCTTTCTACCTTCCACCATGAAATGACACAGCAAGAGGGCCCTTACCAGATAGCAGGCTTCCCAACCTTCGACTTTCCAGTCTCCAAAACTGTAAGAAATAAATCTCTGTTCTTTATAAACTACCCAGGCTTAGTATTCTGTTATAGTGGTACACAACAGACCAAGGCAGTAATAATGTTCTTATTTCCTTTTAAAATCTCATTTTACCTAGAATATCTCACTTGAGACACAGTGACTCTACTCTGCCTTCCCTGTGTCATTATCTCTCATTACAAAGCATGGACCCCCAGGCCTACTCCTCCTGCCACTTATGGGATTTTGGACTCCAGTAACTCCATGTGCTCACAACAAAGAAAGAACAAGGCAGGGTATTTTACTAAATGTCAAAAATGTCAAATCCATTTGAGTACTGTTCTTCTCCTTCTGGATCAAATCCATTTCCTTCATGTATTCCCCTTAGCTTTCAGGAAACAATCACTGCCTCCTTTTCAATATAATGAAAAAAATAAAAGCACCCAGCAGTTACAAGCCTAATACTCTGAGCAAGAATTTAACATTTTTCTCATCACTGCAGTTTCTCCAAGTTACTGATCTAGTTCAAAGTTATTCATTTCGTTTGTGTGTTTAAAACATTTTTTTCAAAAAGGTTGAATGAATTGTGCCTGTCAGTGAAGGTCTGAAGTATTCTTTCAGTGCAGTTCAACATGAACAATATTTTACTATGTAGATGACTTTTTTTTATATATTGTGTGATTAAGTAATCTATTTTGATAAGCCCCCAAGCCACTTTGCTTTAGTAAATCAAATACTTGGAAAAATACACTATCGGGGCTGATGAAGTTATGACTTAATTTGGCAGGTGAGCACTCTATTCAGTAGGATTATAACAAGCAAGTGTCTAAACATTACCCCTTAGCAACAAGTTTTGTAGAATGTCTTGGACATTGAGAAGAATAAAAATCACAGTTATGCTCACTAATAAAATCATTTTCATATAAAATAATAATTCTACAAACTGGGTGATTAAACTCAAATAATAGATACTAATGTGTCTAATCATATGGAGCCATTTTCTTGTTATTCTGAGGTACTTTCAGTTCTCTTGTTGACCTTTCCTCATCAAACCCTATTAGCTGCCAAATCCCTCACCCAGCCCACCTGCACCCCTGGCTACCTAGCTGATTTTTACTCAAACTTTGTGCCTAGCGTCAATTTGGCCATGGCTTCCTCTACCAGGAAGCCAGCCATAATCACTCTCTGCCCTGCAACTCACTGCTGGTAGAGAATGGGTGCCCCTTTTATGTGCTTCTACAGCACTCAGTTATAGCAGTTACCATGCTGCTATAATTGCCTATTAAATAATGGGCAGTAATAGACTATATAACAAGTGAATGTTTACAATTTTCTACCCTAAACCTTAAGCTCCATGAATACAGGAACCATATAGTTTGTCTGTTATATTTCCAGTGCCAAGCACAATGACTACCATATGCTGGAGGCTTTCGTTTCTCTCTCTCTCTGTCTCTCTCTCTCTCACACACACACACACACACACACACACACATTTTACAAATCTTATTTTTCTTAGAACAAATGTTGACCACATATCAACTTTATGATGTAAAAATGAATTTATTAAAACCTGATAGAAAGCCTTTTAAAATATTTTCTAAATTGTGTTTTTTAAAGGAAGTATTTGTTTTAGTGCTGACAAATATTCAACTTCTTGATTCAAAAGAATACATTTCAATTGCAGCCCTGTTATGTTGTTCATGAACTGTTAACCAACTGCCTCAAATCACAAGAATTTTAAGGCTTTCTTGTACTAGAACAGCTGCAAAACATATGTGAGAAATAGTGACCTTAGTGCTCCATAGGGTAAAGTGCACCCAAAACTCACATATGCATTGTTTAAAGTTAGGACTTAAGTGAGATACCAAGACGTTATTATATACCTATGCTGGCAATATTTAAACGGGTCTTGATCCTTGTTATTTATTTCATTACTTTAAAGATAAATTTATTACTTTAACAAGTATAAATGAGCAATAGAAATTTTTGAATGTAGATGCTCACTAATTCTTAGTAAACACTAACACATTCATGTTCTAATATCTATGAATTAGAGTTCTATTCATAATATTAGGAACACAAGGCAGCATTCTAATGAATATTTTTTATCACCTCATCATTCACTCATTTAGAAACTACATACTGAGTACAACGTACACCACTTGGGTGATGGGTGCACTCATATCTGAGAATTCAACACTATATAATTCGTTCATGTAACCAGAAACCAAAAACTGCTATCCAGTTTTCACAGCACCATTCATTAAAGAGACTGTCCTTTCCCCAGTGTATATTGCTGGCATCTTTGTCAAAAATCTGTTGGGTGTACATTCTTGGATTTATTTCATGGTTCTCTATTTTGTTCTATTGGTCTGTGAGTCTGTTTTTATGCCACTACCATGCTATTTTTGCTACTATAGCTTGGTAGTGTAATTTGAAATCAAGTAGTCTGATGCCTACAACTTTTTCCTTTCTGCTCACTATTGCTTTAGCTGTTCAAAGTCTCTGTGGTCCCATATGAGCCAGTAATACAATTCTGAGGGTTCTACCCAAGAGAAGTGAAAACATGCAAAAGCTTCTATGCCAATGCTTATAGAAACTTGATTCATAACCAATGAAAATTGGAAACAATCTAGATGACCTTCAATCAGTGATAGACTGTCAATGTTCTACAGCCCAGGGCCACTAGAACATACTTGTAGATGAACACGTAGGGTTTTTTAGTCATTGAGGTAAAAGAGAATGCTCGCCAAAGGAAAATGTGAGGTAACTCTGTAAGATAGTGTTAAGAAGAACTAATTATGTAATTTGTCCTTTGGTTGGGTAATTTTGGAGAGCGTCTAAGGAAGCAGAAGTTCATTCTGTTGAAGGTGTAGTAAGAAATTGGGAGCAAGTCTATGATTATCTCAGTACATCTTAACTATTCAGAAGGCAGACATGAGTATGGTTAAAACTAAAGCTGGTAAACAATTGGAAGTTACTTATTTAAGGAGAGACTGGGATGTTGTATTTTGAGGCTTGCAGAATGGCTTTGTCTGAAGTGTATATTCTGTGAGATTGTTTATGTCCAACAGGGGAACAATGTGGCTTATCTATAAACACAGATCAGTTTGTAATAACATTGTGGCCTGACCAGGAACATCAGATCAGACCTTATGGGCTGATTTTTGTTTTTATTTTTTTCAAGATAAACACACCATACAATGAAATACTACTTAGAAAGAAAAATAAAAGACCTATTGATTCACATATGAACATGAATAAATCTTAGATTCATTTTGCCAAGAAAAAGAAGCCATCTTGAAAAGACAATATACTGCCTGATTTTATTAAAAGAAACACCAGAAAAGGCAAAAGTATAGAGAGGAAAACAGATCAGTGGTCGCCAGAAATTGGAAATGGGGAAAGTAGTTGCTATAATGGTGTAACATGAGAAAATTTCAGGGGTAATGAGACTGAGAGGTGCATAATATCTGTTAAAACTCTCCTAAAACTGCCCACTACAAAAAGTGATTTTTACCAATTGAAAAAATAAAATCAAACTAGGATGTGTGAAAAAGGTTGGGGAGGGGGAATTTGCAGACTGTGACAAATTTATCTAATTGTATTGTAAATTAGTTGCATAGTCTCACCTAAGCAGATGGAGAGGAAAGGGACTGAGCTAAGTAACTTTGGAAGGCTGTATTGTGACTGGGTATTGCAAGACCAGAGAGAGAAATGTATACCAACAATGGACTTTAGTTTGTAAATTTATTTTTCTTAGGACTATGGGCTAGAAATTATGAACTTCTTTGTGTGCTAGGATTGACAATAAGTAAATATAAATAATGAGAGGGAAGTTATAACTGGAAAAAGAAGTTACAAATAAGACAATAGGAAAGGCTGGAATGAACTTATACAAGACTGAGTTAGAGGTATCAATATAGACTCATTTAAAAATTATATAATTTTATGAATAGATAAATATTATCATATTTAGAGATACATGTGGATATGTATCTATGTACAAGTTGGGATACATACTTACATTTCCTGGCTCTGTCTACTGATAAATGCTTAAAGCAATGGCACATCATTAGCAATGAGCACACCTACACCTCTGATCTTGGTTTGTAGAATAAAGAGCCAGATATCAATACAGGCACCAGAACTTCAACAATAATAATAATAATAATAAAAGAATCTTTGGAGAACTGGTTGATTCCAGGGCTGGGGCGGGAAAATACAAGGTGATACTGGAGCATCTTTTGTTTCCAGAATTCAAGAAAGTGCTAAAAAAGATGGAGACATATTAGAAGGGCACAAGAACTAATCTGAAAGAGCTCTCAATGGACAGTAATGGAATAAGTTGAGCAACAAAATAAGTATAGTAATGGATTATAAATCAGAGAATAAAATAAATATATGAGTTCATATTAATATAAATAAATAACTGAATTAATGGCAGAAAAATAAAAATATTCTACAGAAAAATTTCAATTAATAAATATATATAAAATGAGGAAAATATGAAATCCTTGTTAAAACCCCTCAGTAATAATTGCCATAGGCAAGATCCACGCAGAAATGCTAAAAGAATGAGTGAAACTTAATACAGAAACAAGACATGTGCATTGTCTCATATTTTCTTCCCTGAAATATTTAGTAATGCCAAGGGGAAAGAGTAAGTCCCCAGGGGAAAATCCTGGCAGAAACCAACTTAGCAAAATAATCAAGGTGCACATCCCCAATAACACATATCAATATTATAGGCCTCTTGATACAATGCGCTGAGAAGAGAACATCACTTCTGTGCTATCCTTTCCAATAATGCAAATATTCATAAGAAATGAAAAAGCAAATCAGATATACAAACCCAAATTGAGGAACATTCTACAAAATAATGAATGGTAACATATGGAAGATAAGAAAGGACTAAGGGACTATCGAGATTGGAGATTAAGGAGACATGAGGACTAAGTGCAGTGCAGAATTCCGGATTGAATCCTAGAAAATACAAAGGATTTTAGCAGAAAAAAATGGTGAAACCTGAATACATTTCGCACTTTGGTTAATAGTATTGTAACAAAGCTAATTTTTTAGTTTCAATAATTGCATTACAGTTTTGTAATTCTTCTTTAAATCTGAGGCTCCCTGCTTCCAACTCTCTCTCTATCATATTTGTGTGCTCATTTATATACAAAGGTGTTAAAACCAGAGTTAGAACTGCTAAAGCCAAGCTGATAAGAACTGAGCTTGACTGGATTAAAAGGGAAAGAGGAGTGGTCTCACAGGTAGTGTTAGTAGGTAATAGTAGCTAGCATTTCTGAACACTTCACTATATGCCAAGTGCTTTTTTTTTGGTTGTTGTTCATTTGTTTGTTTTTCGAGATGCATTCTCACTCTGTTGCCCAGGCCGGAGTGCAGTGGTGGGATCTCAGCTCACTGCAACCTCCACCTCCTGGGTTCAAGTAATCCTCCTGCCTCAGTCTCCCGAGTAGCTGGGATTACAGGCATGAGCAACCATGCTCGGCTAATTATTGTATTTTTAGTAGAGATGGGATTTCACCATGTTGGACAGGCTGGTCTCAAACTCCTGACCTCAAATCGTCCCCCTGCTTCAGCCTCACAAGGTGCTGGGATTATAGGCGTGAGCCACCGCACCCAGCCCTATGCCAAGTGCTTTTAACACTTCACTTCATTTAACCCTCAAAACAATCAAACGAGGTAGATTTATTATTTTTATCCTCTAAAAATGAAAAACTCCAGATGAGAAATTTTAAGTACTTTTGTAAGATTGCTTAGCTGTATTCAAACCCAGTTCATCTGACTCAGGTTTGTGCACTTAACTGTCAACCCAGGTCACCTGAATTAACAGTGACTAGGAAGAAACCCACAGACTTCCTTTTTCAGTGTTTATAGAATTATCTTGGTTTGTACACTCTTTCAAATTTCTCATTCCAGTAGATTATTCATCCCTTTGAGCCATTTTTGGCTTCTGCTAACTACTACACCAATGTACACCTTACTGATACCCAGATAATATATAGCAATAAAAAATGCTAAAATTTTTCATGAGACTTTAAAAATTATATTTGCACAGTACAATATAAAAGTAATGGATCCATAACGTTGATTTTGATTATCAGATACAGCCCATCCCGTCCTGGAATCAATATATGAAATCTTAGAAGACTTCTGAAATGTGTGATATTATGAAGCAAAACATTATAAAATTACTGAAATTAATCTCTGAATAGCTATGCACATTCTGCAGTCTTCATATACAATGAAGTATAAAAGTTATAAAATTGTTCTGAAATCAGTGCTGGTTTTTGTCTTCACTAGGCTTTATTTTTCTCAAGTAGTTTAGCTTAAAAAATTATTTCAATGCTCGTTTACTTGAGGTCTCTTTCTTGGTCTCCTAGCAGGTTAATGTCTGCTGATATGTCCGTATTTGCTTTGGGCCCTTATTACCAAGTCTTACTCTTTGCATGAAGACTTGCTCAGAGTACATATTTTAGTATTGATTATTTTACAATTGATTTCTCTTGAAGCCTTTGTTTTCCTCCATTAAATATGTCCCCTGGTAATTTTAACTCAGGATATTAGTTTTAATCATTTAATGTCCCTGAATAAATGGGATACTCATGTTTTGCAAAATCTTTGTGGCAAGTTCTTGGGTTAGCTTTTCCTTTTCACTTGATTCAGTGAGTAAGCATTAGTAAATGTCTTTGAACTTCCTTAGATATGGTAAGAAAAAGCCTGCTGGTTTGATGAAAGAGTGACTTATTCTATATTATTTTTTATACTATGTGATAACTTGACCACTGTCTAAATATTTTAGAACATATAATTTTGCTTTTAACTATATCATGCCTGGTGTGTATTTGGGTTACATTTGCATGGTCGAGAGCAGCAATGGCAAATTTTTCATACAAAAAAATAACTATTAGGGAGTAAAAGCCTAGTTCAGGTTTAAGAGACAGAGTGAGAAGATCCATCATGATGTATGCCCTGGTTGAGAGGCCTAAGTGGCAACTTGCATGTATTAGCCATCACTGAAAGTGTCCAGAAGTTTTATAGTTTCTTGTTTAAAGTCTCACTTCTGTATTATTTAACAGAACCAAAACGTTATGGCCTAAATGTAACAATTTTGTATTATACAGTTTGAATTTTGAGTTCTCTAGTAACAGCAAAACATTTCTACTGTGCTGGGAAGAAGTAAGTAAATAATTGCTGATTCATTGCTCTGGATCAGTCTTTGAACCGTGTTTGTTGCTGTTAATAGAGGGAGCCAAGGTTAATTATCACCAGAATGAGGGGAGTGTCAATCTGTCTGCCACAGCATGGTGCTCTGAACAAGCCCAAGTCCAGCAAAAGAAAGGAAAACAAATGTCAGAGTTTACTAGAGTATGGAGATTCTGTACTACAGTCCCTAAGGAGTAGGGTTATCTTTTCCTGATGAGAATCTGTCTTCAGCCCAACTTTGCTCTCCTTCCTAATGGAGGGTGCTCCTTTCATCTCTCAGCTTTCCTTCTCTCTGAGTCTCCTCATTTGCACTGATACTGAGACTTTTAACAATAGTTTCTAGCGATTCTGTTGTTCAATAGATGAGGGGCAGTGCAAACCCATTATAAACCAAAAATAAAATTCTAAATTGCCCAGCCAACTAAATGAACCTTCGTCTTGGCCAAGGGCATTCCAAAGTTAACATGAAAAACTAATTTATGCTATGCCGGGAAAGGGAGGTCCAACATGCCTCATTGTACCCGCCTTCGTTTAGAATTCAGGAACAATTGACCAGCATTAACGTTAAACAGAGATCTTAAGACTGACAAAACAGACTCTTTGTAGCAATGAGATACCAAATTCCAATCTGACTCTATTATAGCATCAGATGAAAGATAACAAACAGGCCCTGAAAGAAACCAAACTATTTTACCCCAAAATATATTTCTTTGATATATTTTGAAACGGCCCTGCAAAACTAACTCTTGTGGGGAAAATCAACATTCTGCAGAGAATCCCCTTCCCTTTCCAGGTCTTTTCCTTGATTCAGGAGAGAATTAACTAAGAGTCTGGCACCTTTTCAGCTCTAGTAAGAGCTCTAAAGCCAGCTATTTGGGCTTCATCTGCATAACAAAAACCTTGCTCTTTACAACCTCTTATCTTAACCCAGATCCTCCTTTCTGTTGATTCCAGCTCTTTTGATAATAACTTAACTCTTTCAACCATTTGCCAGTCAGAAAATCTTTGAATCCTCCTGTGACCTGGAAGCCCCCTACTTTGAGTTGTTCCACCATTCGGGACTGAACCAATATACACCTTACATGTATGGATTAATGTCTGCCTGTAGTTTCTATCCCCCTGATGTATAAAATTAAGCTATAAACCAAACACCTTGGGCACATGGTCTCAGAACCTCCTGGGGCTATCTTGTGGTCATGCTCCTCACATTTGGCTCAGAATAAATCTCTTTAAATATTTACAGAGTTTGACTTTTTTCATTGACACCATGCAACTTGAATCAAGCTAGTACAGACATCACAGACTCTCAGATGAAAATTCTTAATGTAATTAATGGGAAAGCAACTTGGAAAACATATTATAATTTATAAATTTTTATTTATTTATTTTTTATTAAATCCATGTTTCCATGAAACATATTTTAATTTGCTATGGCATTTCTTATTATTTTTTCTTCCTTTCAAGATAATATATCATCCTGTTTTGCAACAATGTTGTACAACAAGGTGTGTACTTAATGTCACTAAACCGTACACTTAGAAATGGTTAAAATGGTAAATTCCATTTACATTTTATATCAATTAAAACAAACATGCAATTGCTGATTAATTCTCTCATTTTGGAAATTCTACCTTTAGTGAACTCATCAGTAAATAGTATCTGGGAGCTCTCAGATTATAAATATGATACGATTCAATGGGAAATAGCAAATGTTTCAATATAATAAACAGCCCAAAGAACTTTCAGTATTTTAATTGTAAGCCCTAATATTTTGTTAATGCTAGAAGATTAGAGAATTCCATAAGGTACATTAAAGGCAAATAGATTTTGTTTCATATTCCTTTATGATTATCTTTATCATAATCAAGACTGGGTTTGAATATTAGCTAAATGACCACACATTTTCAGAGTCTCATTTTAACATCTAATTTTTAAAAAGTTGTAGGGGTCAAAACAATGTATGAATATACAATAATGGGATAGACATGGATTGTTTGTTATCACCTAGACTCTTGATTCAGTTAGGCTTGTTTTGAATGCTGTGTTCATCACTTACTGGGTGGCCTTAGACCAGTTACTTAATCTTCAGGGCTCAATTTCCTCATACACAAAAACAGAAAAACAATAGTACCTTTCACTATAGACTGTTGCATAGATGAAATAATTTAATAAATCACTTAACACAGTACCTGCTACATTGCAAAAATTCAGAAAAAGGATAATTATAGTACCTATACCAAATGATGCTTTGAAGATTTCATGAGATAGTATGTGCAAAATACGTAGCATTGCCCATCATGTTGTAGCAACTCAATCAATGCCATTATCATATATATCAAAATTTTATGGTAGCATCATGTATCATGATTCAGTCATTTCCTTAATCCTGCATCACTGCAGCATGCTTGGAATGCCCAGCTTCATCCTAATGTTTCTCTTTTTTCATATTGATCTTCTAGAATACCACTTTCCTCATTGCCAGTTGTCTTTCCAGAAATTTTCCATGATTTTTCCTTGCCTGATGAATCTAAGCTGTTAGAGGCAAAGTTGCAAATTGATTCAATGATGCTAGATTCAGCCTCATAAATTCTGGCTCTATCATGAATTTGCCTCAGAAACTATGTGAAAATAAAATGTATTTTCATTATTCATTCATTCATCCAGTACTTACTTGTCAAGTCCCTGCTATGTTTCAGGACTGAAGCCAGACAGACTAAGGTATGTTATATATTGTATTTAGCCCTTTACTTACTGGGTCTGTGATCATAAGTAAAGTATTTATTATTTCAAATTTTTAACCTCTCAAATCCCCTATACATATAAATTAGGGATAATAGTAGTGCTTATTGGTTATGGGGTGAATTGTGTCCTCCTCAGATTTATATGTTGAAGTCTTAACCCTTAGCACGTCAGAATATATTGGAGATATAATTTTAGTGAGGTAATTAAGGCAAAATGTGGTCATATGGGTGGGTTCTAGTCCAATCTGACTGGTGTCCACATAAGAAGAGGGGATTAGAATACAGATACACTTAAAGATCATATGAAGACACTGGAGGAAGACGGTCACATGCAAGCTAAAGAGAGCCTTTAGAAGAAACCAACCCTGCTGACACCTTAATCTCAGGCTTCTAGCCTCCAGAGGTGTGAGAAAATAAACTTTTATTAAGTCACCCAGTCTGTGGTACTTTCTTAAGGCAACTGTAGCAAACTAATATATTACCTTAAAAAATAGTAAAGGCATTAAATGAGAAAATGCATGTAAGCATATTTCAAGGCCCTAACACCAGTCTCTATACTTTCTGTCTCTAGCCTGGCCTGTATTCTCCTGTCAGATAATCTTAAGACACAAATGCCATCTCCTTTATAGAACAATTCAAGGTTCTGACAGTGACATGATACAGAGCAGAGCTCTACATCCTGAGAATGGTAATTTACACAGAATTCCTTTGATGCGGTATTCTTGCTCTGCCTTGTATTTTTCTCTCATCCCAGTACTGAGATGATCCAGGTACTCCTTGACACATAACTCACTTTATCTTTGACTTCTCTTCAGTGACTAGGGAGTACATTGCAAACAGCGCACAAAAATTCAGATATTGTCAAATTGAACTGAATCACTTAATTTGTGAATGCGAGTGTGGGGAGAATAATAAAGTGTAGAAGTATGATAGTCATCATGATTGAATTTTTAGAGAGGTTGCCAATTCCCATTTATTTTCACCAACAAATATACACCTAGCAGAATATTTGAGTAATTTTCAAGAAGTGGATTCAATTGCCTTTATAAATGGGCGTCACTGTGTGAGTCACTGTGTTAAAATGTCTTTCTGTGTTAGGCATATAGTCAGAAAAAAATGGTCTTTGAAAGTAATGGAAAGCAGGTAATAACTTTATTTTTTTTTTCTATTTATTCTCCACGTTATTTTGTAAGTATATTTATTGGCTGGACAATGTAGCATGTAGGAAAATCACTTCCATATTTATGACTACTTTATTACAAGAAGAATCATGTTCAAAGAAACTGTAAAAATACGTTTAATATTTATATTTTACCAGAAAAGGAAAAAGCACACACACACACACACACACACACACACACACACACAAAACCTTCGGGGATTTTTGAGTTCTAGTTGCCCAAAATGTGATGGGTGTGCAAAGACAAAGTAAAAAATATGTATATTCCCACTAAATATATGATTATTTATGGTGAATGTTCTTACATTAAGAATAGCAATGATATTGTTTATATCACTCTGTAATCTGCTTTTTTGTTAGCTTAATATGTCTTAACAATACTTCTATTTCAAAGTGTATGTGTAGTCTTCATTTCTTTTAACTTCTTTAAATTTTTCCAAAATTTCTTCCAATTGGAATAAGTTGGAATTTGAAATAATTTTATTTATTCAATTTGGAATAATATTTCACATATTATAACAGATATATTTATAAACAAAACATATTTGAACTTTTTTTCTCTCTTTCATCTAGGCTGGAGTGCAGTGGTGTGATCATAGCTTACAACAGCCTAGGACTCATGGGGTTAAGTAATCTTCCTGCCCCAGCCTCCCAAATAGCTGGAACTACAGGCATGTACCAACATGTCTGGCTAATTATTTAATTTTTCATAGAGATTGTATCTCCCTGTGTTGCCTAGGCTAGTCTCAGACTCATGGGCTCAAGCGACTCTCCCACTTCAGCCTCCTAAAATGCTGGGATTACAGGTGTGAGCCACTGCACCTGACCCACATGTTTATTTAGACCTTTTTCACCATGTAAGAATTGGTTCTATGGTTTGGTGGTTTTTAACTTGCTGAAAGTGAAATTTTTGTAAAATAAAACTCAATAATAATATGTTGGTATGTATTTAGAAAGTAATATAAAATATGAAGGAAGGCTACCGAAACCATTAGCAGTGGTTATATTATGCAAGGATTGTAGGACTTTTGCTTTCTATATTATATGTACCTGCAGTGTGTCAATTATATTAATCATTGCTCCTGCATCATGAAAAATATGTAATATAAAACAGAGAGATGTGGCCTTGCTTAAACTAACATAGAATTTGAAGGCCAGAGCCATATTTTGAAAATGGATCTTTCTGGTGCCTAAGCATATTTTCCCCCGTTCTTCCTAAAATTTTCAAACTTGCCTAAGAATGGATTTAAATATTCAAGAATCCAGCCCTATTTATTAAATTAAAAAATGACTCTCCCTCATTGATTCTTTTCTTCATAATGTTTGGCAATGTACTAAGCAGACTCCTCGCTAGATCCGTGATTACTCTTTTAGGCAATCACTCTTGTCTTTTTAGACAGTCACTCTTGTCATGGACTTTCTTCTTCACCACAACTGGGAATGGTAACAATGGGAACAGCCCTCTTGGAAAAGAAGACTTGATTTGCTAACCTGAGTCTCTAGAAAACTGTGAAGCAGAACTGCTTATGTATTATACACTTCTCACTAACCAAATGCATTATTATAAATTCTCTTTTTATGAACCACTGTACTTTAAGTCTTTTTAAAGAGAATCTTAGTTTATATACTAGTTTTATACACTACTGAAACAGAATCTGCTAAGTAAGGCATAGGGATATGCATAATTTTGGTAAAAGTTTCAGTTGATTTCTATGGTTAGATAAAAACTGGGCTGCAGGCTTTATGTGGATTAGTCCAGTACTAGGGAAATGAATTGTCACAGTCAAGGATAGGTTATTTCCTAATTATTCTAATACTGCCAATTCTAACATAAGAAAAATTTTTGTAGTAAAATATGCTAAAATATTAAATACACATACATATATATCCCTAAAATTTAATTATGAATTTAAATCTAAATTTTCTCCAGGCTATTATGATAGCTGTTAAGAAAACACCTGATTAGAAATTTTACTTTCCTTTTTAAAAAAAAAAAATCGAAGTGTTAACAACATAGTAAAGTAACAAAGAAATTGCTACTGGCTAGGAAAAAAAATAGTGTATTATTTATCCATATCCCTGTTTTTTGGTGACACTGACCTCTTAGATTGGCATGCTAATTATAAAAAAGTCTTAAGGATTTTTGCTAATAAGTGGATTAGTGAGCATATCCTAATACCCCCAAACAGACAGTGTAACTTGCACCGCTAACATGTTTCTTGCGTGCTCAGACTCCATATCAGGAGACATATACATAAGGTGAGAATGAAGATCAAATAGGGGGTTATGCACTTGGACACCAAGAAGCCTAGAAAATATTCACTGCAATATCAATTTGACACACCTCATTACATGGCTCTTTAAATCATTGCAGATTAGAGGAGGAAGCATAATCAAATTCACATATTAAAGTCTTTATGAGAGGGACTTTGCTTTGCATTTCATGTATCATTTCTTTTTTTTTTTTTTTTTTTTTTTTTTTTTGAGACGGAGTCTTGCTCTGTCTCCCAGGCCGGACTGAGGACTGCAGTGGCGCAATCTCGGCTCACTGCAAGCTCCGCTTCCCGGGTTCACGCCATTCTCCTGCCTCAGCCTCCCGAGTAGCTGGGACTACAGGCGCCCGCCACCGCGCCCGGCTAAGTTTTTGTATTTTTAGTAGAGACGGGGTTTCACCTTGTTAGCCAGGATGGTCTCGATCTCCTGACCTCATGATCCACCCGCCTCGGCCTCCCAAAGTGCTGGGATTACAGGCGTGAGCCACCGCGCCCGGCCCATGTATCATTTCTTAATACTCAAATTTAATCCTTCCTATGGGATAGACTGTACCTCCACTTTTACATTATGAGTACATTAAGGCTTATCAGGATGATAAAAGTGACTCCAAATCTGTCAGGGAAGAGATTTTAACCAAGTTTTGTCTGAATTCATGTGCAGCCTTTCTGCTACCCATGCTAATTCTCTAGAAGCAGAAGATTAGAAGATGGTGATATTTAGATACAAAACAGCAGCAAGAAGGTATATCTGAGAGAAAGAAAAGGTCAAAAAGTAAGAAAAAAATAGAGAATATACAAAACCCCAGTAATCCAGAAGTAAGAGCTACTAAGAATATTGCATGAAGTGTACCCCAAATAATCCCAAGTCATCAAAATAGTTAAAATTCTATTTATGATTCCTTAAGAATACTGAAAATGTGAGTCTACATAAGAAAGATTTTCATTAGGAAAGTTTAAATTGCAGTTTGAAATATAGAAACGCTCAGCACCAAGGACTTGGACAGCTCTTCCTTGGGCACAGTTAGTTTAGGGGTTTTACTCTACCTGATGTGTTCTTTGTGAAATAAAATGCTACTTAATCCTCTGTCCCGTTATGAAGCTTTTTACAGATGACACTGTGCTGTACTCTAGATTTACACGTTTTTTCCTAGATGTAATTTCCTTTACAGTTTTCTGCATGTCATCAGACCTCCAAACATGAACACATACCCAACTTTTTTTTTAAATAAGAATTTCGGTATAAATCTGATTTCAGGCTTTAAAACTGTGTATATAAACAATATATACTGACCTATTGCATATGGTGTTTGAATTTTATTTTGCCTTTGCATGGCAATTCTTGAAAATATTTTTGAAGATAATAGTTAAATTCTTAGTCAGACATCTATGGTCATTTAAATGTTGGTGTAAAATAACTTCAACACCAACTTCATAGATGTTCATTTGCATTTGCAGATGCAAATGATATAAGCTTGGAAGAAATGTATTCTGTTAGAATTTTGGTACAATGTGAGGAATTTTTACCAGCAATTATTGTTTTAGTCTAGGTGTTGAATTTTATTTACTCACATATGCTTCCTGTATTATCCAGTAAAAGATAGACTGGTGGAATAGAAATAAAAACAATTTTTTTTTTGTTATTTCATTTACCTCATCTGAGTTATTTCACTGAGACATTGCAAAGACCTACATGGCCAACTACTTCTCTTTTTCCCAATGCAATACTGAGACTTTTAGTATCACTCATGTGTCTAATTCAATTGTTGTGAAATGTTTTCAGAAAATTTTGTGTAACTGCTTCTGTGAAAAAAATATTGTATACGTACTGCCTGAATTTGAATTTATTCTTCAAATTGTCCTCTTTAGGATATGGTAATTTCATTATTAATAAATATTCATAAAACATATATATATATATATATATATATGCCCAAACCTGTGAGCATAGAAAAGAAGTACAAGATATGAACTCAAATAAAATAGACAAGATTTGTATCCATTACTGACAATTGACATTTATAAAAAGTGGGATTGGTAAAATCATGATGCTTCCACATAGAAATTGCTGGACCCAGAATTCAAACTTATGTTTACTGGTTTACAGCTCTATATTCTTTTATTATGAGTGCTGTCTCTTAGGAGGGAGATAACTGTTAAAACAAAAACCTTAATGTTAACTTAAATTATAATACTCCCTGTTTGACACTGTTCCAGTCTCGCAGATGGTCTGTGTCCTGAGACCTTAGCATGTTTGAGGCCAGTAAAACAACTGAATATAATGACAGTTTTTAAAACACCGCAAGATGATTGAATGCTTTTTGGTTATGATCTAGGCTTTTGCAACATTATTCAATAGGTGACCAATCAACCAATATGTAAGGCTAATGGAAGTTATTCTCATTTCTGATCCCTTGATAACAACTTTCAGGGTAGAATGAGAAATCTGAAAAATCCACCCTTAAGGTACAAATCAGTAGCTGCTGAAATTCTTCTTTCTTTAATCCATTTTTCTTTTTTACCTAGTATATTGTTGAAAATATCCACATTATTAATATCTTATGACTAAGGCATAAAAATTCCTTGTTAAATAAATACTGGTTTCTCAAAGGGAAAATACTTAAAGAAGATAATTAAAGGACCTGATGAATGGGGAAAGGTTGACATGAGAAGTAATACTTAAAGAAGATAATTAAAAGGGCCTGATGAATGAGTACAGGGTTGACATAAGAAGTAATATGCAAAGAAGATAATTAAAAGGGCCTGATGAATGGGTACAGGGTTGAAATGGGGAGCAGAGTCGAATGTCTAAACTTCAGGCTGCCCTAGTTTGAGCAGATGGTGTACTGGTTCTATAGACACAAGGTAAAGGGGCGAGAAACATGCAGGACAATGTCTCATCTTTATGGAACAATATAAATTAAGCTTGGCAGACAAAGACTTTTTCTAGAATTTAGAAAATTCTAGACAAATCTTACATAAAAGTCAATATTGGGTATATAGAATATAGTTAATAAACAGGATTACTTTTAGAAGAAATAATGCTTTTGAGGTATATTGAAGAGTACAGATTTAGAAACTGTATACAAATAACTTTCATACTTCCATTTATATAAAGTTCTAAGTCTAGTTTACGGTAATAGAAGTCAGGATAGTGATTATCCTTGGGGATGCAGTGACTAGAAAACGGTAAGGGGAAGGTTGCTGATCTGCTGGTAATGGTCTGAGTCTGAATCTGGGTGTTGTATTCACTTTGTGAAATACACGAGCTGTAGATGTAAAAATTGAGTACTTTTCTGCATATTAACGTATATATAATATATGTAATAAGTTTCAATAAAAACTTTATGTAAGAACACAAAAGTTAAATTCTTCGAGATGTATTTACTTCTTCTTCCACCCAAATTTGTTATTTTGTACTGAAAGTGTTTTCAAACCTTGATAGACATGTTCATCATGTGTGATGAAGTGCATAGATTTAAAAAATCTTAATGAGCAGTCTATTTTTTTAGATTAAAAAATAATAAATAGATGAAAACTCTTAGAAATTTCATGAGACTGGGTGTTGGAAGATATAAGTTACAATCCAACTTTGACTATTAAATTACTGTGAACATCCATTTCTCTATTTGTCAGATGAAGATGGTAAGCCTTGTCTTGAAACACAAATTTGTTATGAGGCCCAAATGAAATACTACAGCTAAAAATACTTCATAAACTGTAAAGCAAAACAAATATAAAATTCATTTGTTCCTTAGTTATGTGTACCAAAGAAAGTACTTATTTTTAAAATGTATATTTAGATTAAATGAGCAATTTAAAAATTCTGCTACTAGTGTCTTTGTTACAAGAATACTCAATGCACTACATTTCTGTGGATTCAGTAATGTGTAGTGCCCAGCTTTTGCTGGCTTTCCAGTCTTTGTGCTCTGCTACTTTATAATCCTATGGTATTAGAAGATTAAGCTGATCAAGAAAAAATGAGAGAACAGCTCTGTTTTCTGCTTTTTTTGCTCTCTCTATAATCACTACTTCCTGCAAATGTATTAAATAAAACTAGAAAGAGTTGTGAAACGTTTAACTAAATTGATGATTCATTCAATTTTGCCAAAGACCCTGAATATTCATTTATTCTTGCCCACAAAATTACATTGGCGTTTTATGTTGTTTCATCAACCTGTTCAAACTTCATTATTGACCCAATGACAGAATTTTAATTTCTTTCCATTTTTTTTTTTTTGCCATTTGGCGAAGATGTTTTGCTGAAATATAATGTATCTCTTACTCAGGAATTTTATTCTAAGTAAAAATGTAAACCTGCACAGGAGGGTGTAAGCACAAAATCAAGGAATTTTGAAACATTTTGAGAAGACTAAAGTGAGCAAGTTTTGTGCAGTGGAAGTAAATGTAATTGATTTTTGTCTACAACGATTCTCTCTTCTTTTCTCTTCTCTTACTATCACTCTCTGTCTCTCATTCTCTTTCCCTAAAGCATGGTTTCAATCATTTTTTTAGAGAAGCTATTAGAGCAAACTAATCCAAATCTTTTGCTTAATAAGTTGGTTATTTCAGAAAAACTAAGATGTCTGACAACATAGCTAAGACATGCAAAATGGGACATTGCATTATGCCAAGTCAACAAGAAGTTATGAGTATACTACAGTCTTGGCAACAGTGAGGTATGAATAAGGAGAAACAAAAATAGGTAGCTCTCAAAAGTTTTATAATCTAGTTTGATAAGGGGAAAAGGAAACTCAGGCTGGTTTACTGGGATTTGCCTTTTAATCCAGAAGATCATTTTAATTGAGCCATAGATAAAAACAAGTTTTGAAAAAGCTTGTCACGTTCTGTTCACTTAATAGATAATTTTCTTTCGTTTGACAGAGAAAGTGTAAAAATGAACTAGGTCTGAAGAAAGATACAAATCTAAGAAGGTAACTACTTCCACCTAGAAGGCAGTCTGTCTTAATGTAGTGATAATAATGAATATCAGTAGTTGAATTATCTTAAGAATAACAGCCTGATTTTCTCAAGGTACCTTGATAAGATTATTGACAGTTATTCAGGAATGTTAGGTTGTTGTTAAATACTATGTTTGGAAGACAACAGACATTGCTCTTGTCTTAATTGGTGCACTGAGCACCATTTGTTTTAGAATAATTCAAACTGTCTGTTTAGAATGGTTAGAGTCCTCCAATGATTATGACAGAAAATCTTCAAAGTTGAGTGGAATAACATAATCATGACAGAAAGCCTGACACAAAGTAAGTATATCTGTTGAATGAATGAGTGAAATAGTCTGCCATTTTAATCTGGGGACTATAATACATTGTTACACTCTTGCAGTGATTGATTAATTAAAGTACCAGGCTGATAATTAGGCTTATTGCAGAACTATTACAAATACAGATAAGATATGGAAGTAGATAGAGACTACTTCTATTTGACACTATCCTCATAGGTGCTAATTTAGTAAGTCTGTGTGGGTCCAGTGTGATTACAGTGACTAAGTGTGTTTGGTGCCCACTAATTTAGAAGGCTTTGGTTTGTTAAATAATTTACTTATCTATTTTCCTCTCAGTTCTGTTGTAACAACTACTGTCAAATTCTGGTTACCTGTCCATCAGGACCATGTTTTAATGTATCCTTGAGTATCTAATTATTTTACTTCCCTCGTGGACACCCCTTTAGTGAATTAGGAGTTGACCCAAATTATATGTTGAAGGGTTTATGAATACCACATTGAAATTTCTCTCAGAGATTTCTTTTTGAAATATAGAGGACGGGGGTTTGCCCATCAATTTGGCAAGGACTAATAGAGGGAATGAAAGTATCCATGTTTTATTATATTTAATATAAGCTGAACCTGGAATATCTGTATTAAAATGGCTTGGAAATTGAGTACTATGAGGACCTGAAAAAGTAACCACCTGAAAGAAACAAGATTTAGGGAGCTATCACTGGGCTGGTTAATATTTTGATAAATATAGAAATTTGTGATAATAGTATAATTGTTATTAATTTAGAGAAGAGAAAACTGAATCCTAGAGCAGTAAAGAAGTTTTTGTTATTATTTTTTCCCTAGGTCACAGTTAGTATTTGGCAGTGATGGTATATTCAGAGACACATTAATTCATTTTTATTACCACTTATTACCTCCTCTGCATTATGTTAATATGTTTCACTTAATATAATGCTTTTAAGTTTTCAAAATACAATGCCAGCAGTGATCCAAAATTTAAAAATATGATTTATTGAAGGCACAATGAGAATTTAGAAAATATTGAAAGGCTCTGCCAAAGTATACTTTTCAAAGTATGACTCATACAACTATAAAATGAACACGTGTCAACGTTTTATTTAACTGATTAGTAAAAGAACCAGTAAGATGATAAAGCTGATTCCAAGAACATTTGAGGAACGGGATATTTATAGGAATAAATAGAAAGAATGTTAGAATAAAACTGGCAGGTTTGATAAAAACCTGATTTGTGCTCCAGAAGGCAATACCACAATTTTGGGGGCTATCATTTTTACTACCAACTAAACTGAGATCTACTCAAATGACAAATAAAGTGAAAAATGTTTGGCAGAATCTGTTAAACAATGTCTGCATACGACATTGAAAGATTATGATCTCCTACTCAATTGCCTTATTTCCAAATATTGGATTCTCTTAACCCTGTAAAGAGAAAAAAAGTCAGTCACAATCTATCACCCAGAGATAATCATTGTAATATTTCTGTCTTGTCTCTTAGCTATACATATGTGTTTGTACAGGTGCATGTGTCCATTTCTCTTTATATAATTGGAATGATATTGTGTGTATAATGTTATATTTCACCCTTTTTACTTAGGATTGTATTGTGAGCATTTACTCATGCTATTCTGTGATCTAAAGGGATATTTCAAACCATCCTGTGAGGAAGATCAGGAGAACTGGTTTTCCTGTCTTGGAGATGAGGAAAATGAGGCACATAAATTACAACTCCCTAGCTTAGCAGAGGCTGAAGTTCCAAGTATCCTGGCTACTGACATTAAGTTCTTTCCTCTAGGCTGCATGACTTAATTTGACCTCTTTTCTACTTGTGCCAGTCTTGAATATTTCAATTCAAAATGATATTCCTAATCTTGATATGGTGAATTTTTCTAGTGAAATTATTTTCAAATAGTAATATAAATTAAATTGCAGTGGTTTCAATTTCATCAGCGTGATTAAGGCAAAGCGATTTAAAATATGCCTTTTAAGTACAGGATGCTTTTGATTTGTTTGGTCATGAAGAGACATAATTCCAATAAGTTGACTTTAAATATTTTATAAAACCAAATTGCATTTTTTTACTGTAGGCGAGTTTACATGTTGCATAAAATGGGCTGATGCCTCAACATAAATTTAAAGAGCCAGTGATTCTTATAATAGCTTTGAACAATTTTTTCATTCATGTATAATTATTGTACATATTTATGAGGTACAGAAGAATATTTCAATTCATGTATACAATGTGTAATGATCAAGTTAAGGTAACTAAGATATCTCTCACCACAAAAGTTTATTATTTCTTAGCGTTGGGGTCATTCAAAGTCTTTTCTTTAGCTATTTGAAAATATATAAGGAACTAATGGCAACTACAGTCACCCTACAGTAATATAGAAAACTAGAATTTATTCTTATTATCTAGCTGCAATTTTGTATCCATTAACCAACCTCTTCCTATCTTCCCTCCCTTCCCAATTTCTAGTAACTTCTACTCTATTTCTATGGGCTCTATTTTCTTAGCTCCCACATGTGAATGAGAACATGCAGTATTAATCTTTCTATGTGTGATTTATTTCACTTAACATAATGTTTTTCTAGGATAATCAATGTTTCCATGAATGATAGAATTTCATTTTTTATGACTGAATAGTATTCCACTCTGTGTATGTACAAGTTTTTCTTTATCCATTCATCCACTGATGCACATTTGTTCACTAGTGTGAAGAGTGCTGTAATAAACATGGGAGTAGATATCTCTTTGACGTACTTGTTTCCTTTCCTTTTGATAAATACCCAGCAGTGGGGTACTAGATCATACAGTAGCTCTATTTTTAGTTTTTGGAGGAAACTCCATACTGTGTTTCACAATAGTTTTACTAGTTTAACTTCCCACCAAAAGTATTTAAGAATTTCCTTTTCCCCTCATTCTTGCCAGCATTTGTTATTTTTCATTTTTTTTAATAATAACCATTTTAACTGGAGTGAGATAATATCTCATTGTGGCTTGATTTGCATTTCCTTGATGATTAGTGATGCTGAGCATCTTTCATATACTTCTTGACCATTTGTATGCTTTCTTAAGAAATATCTATTTAGATCATTTGCCCATTTTTTAATCACATTATTTGTTTTTTTTACTTTTTAGTTGTTTTAGTTCTTTCTATATTTTGGATATTAACTTTGTCAAATGAATGGTTTGCAAACATATTCTCCCTTTCTGCAGGCTGTCTCTTCAATCTGTTGATTGTTTCTTTTGCTGGCAGAAGCTTTTTAGTTTGATATAATCCCAGGTGTCTATTTTTGCTTTTCTTTCCTGAGCTTTCGAAGTCATATCCATAAAGCCTTTGCCCAGACCCATGTCCTGAAGTGTTTCCCTTATGTTTTCCTTTAGTAGTTTTATAGTTTCAGATCTGATTTTAAATCTTTAGTATAAAGTATTTCTGAGTCTGTAAGACAAAATGAAGGCATTCTCATATTTGCTACCATATTTACAAATAATTATATATTTATACATAATTAATAGACATAAACCAATAAATTGACTTTAAATATTTTACGGTAAAGGGAAACATACTTTTCAAAATTCAATTTGAGGATACTGAGAAACTTCAATGCCATTTCAGATGTTTTCTATGGATTTTCTCCCACAGATACCTGCTGATCCCACTATACTAAAGAGTAATATCTGTAAATGAGGTTCTTACTCTTCTATTCATACTGCAAGTGAGATCTCTAGGAATTAAAATTAACACATTCTTTATAATGGGAAATTAAGATAAAACTGCAATTAAGTCATGAGCTTGCATGAAAACCATTTCAGACTAATCATTTTCTTCAAAATGCAATGATAAACAATGTGTCCAAATATAAACGGATTCCAAAGGATAGCTAATAATTACTTTATAAGGTCTAATAGACCTTTTGATCAAAAGGTCTATTTTCCTTCAAATTATCACCTCTGGATATGTTGTCAGGAATTTGGCATTATAATTTATATGGCTTATAATTTACTTGCTTATCAAAACTATGCTAAAGCAACCAAGAACAATTAGTATGTCAGAGTTTACTCCCCATAACAATATGGTTTGGTTGATCTGGCAGATGGCCCAAAGCAACATTATTGTGATTTGTTCTAGTAATTTCTGTAGCCTGAGTGCTTTTGTATTTTATCTATCTATCTATCTAGTCTTGTAGCATTTATTTTCTTCCAAATTTACAAAGTTATTTGGATTAGAAGTGGCAAAGAAAAAAAAATAAATGATATGATTGAGTCATGTCTAAGCCCTCAATAATTGCTATTCTGTTATTAAACAATAATTATTTTCTACTCTAAATATTTTGCTTAAATCACCCTTCAAGATCCAAATTAATCTGATAGTTACCCATAAAGCCCCCAAAAACACATAGCTTACCAAAATTAAAGCAGGTCAAAAGAATGAGAGAAGTGTGGATATGTTGACTTTTGCTTCTCCCTTTCAAGTTTAGATGACTATCTTGCAGGTGCAGGAAATAATAACAGTAGTACACATTTACTGTCTGCATTGAGGAAAACTGGCCATAAACTATGCCATATCTCTGACTTTAAAGATTCAGAATATCTCCTCAAGCATTAAAGTTATATATGCCATTCTAGCCTACAGAACATATAATGCTTTTCTTTCTTCCTTATTCACTATATGACTTCTAATTCCTTCAGGATCAGAAAGGGAGGATAGATGAAAGGAAACCAGGACTTCAAAAATTTACTTATTATAGCTGAAGCTTTTTCCTATTATTTCTTGTCTGTCATGCCTTCTGACTGGGAAGATTTCCAGATACTAACTCTTTCTCATTGGAAGGTTTAAGGGTTCTTTAGAGATCCCAACCTCCCATGCAAATTGGAATATTTTGTATTACATAATTGCCAGACACATGTGGCACCATTTCTGACTGATTTCTCACAAACCCATGACCTTTCTCTTTGCCTGTTGTTACCCCACAGACTCTGGTGGAGTACCTCATGTTTCAGACTTCTTAGACAGTATTCTTACAAGTTAAAGTTGGTTCAAACAGGAATATACATTGAGTTGTCCACCTTCATCTGTTTAAAATATTATGCATTTTTGTCTCATGTCTCTTAAAGCCTAGGGCACTCGAAATATCTTTTTAAAAAATGATAAAATTAGCAGCATTGGGCAGTCCTAGTCTATGTATGATCTTGTATCTATCTATCTATCATCTATCTATCTATCTATCTATCTATCTATCTATCTATCTATGTATCTATCATCTATCTATCCATCCATCCACCCATCCATTTAATCTATTGTCTATCTCTTTCTAGGGTAGGCAGAATTATAAAGATGCCCTCCTCCTAGCCCCCAAATACCTGACTTTCGTCCATTCAATTAAACATTAATACTGGTATACTGTGAAGAGATTTCAGTTGTAGCTAAAGTCCCAAGCCAGTTGACTTTTAAGATGCAGCTATTATCCTTGTGGGTCATAGATATAGCATAGTTTATGGCCAGTTTTCCTCAATGCAGACAGTAAATGTGTATTACTGTTATTATTTCCTGCATCTGCAAGGTAGTCCCCTAAAAGTCAGAAGTCAGAAACCTGTGGTAGAAGCAAGGATCAGAGAGATTAAAAGTGTGAGGATCCCATGTATCATTGTGAGTTTGAATATGGATCATGGATGAAGGAATGTGAGTGGCTTTAAAGAGCTGAGGGAATGTTTCCTAGTAGACAGCCAGCAAGAAATATGGCCTCAGTTCTACAACCATAAGACACTGAATTTCACGAACAGCCTAAATGAGGTTGGAAGCAAATTATTTCTCAGAGCCTCCAGGAAGGGAGGTAGCTTTATTGACTTCTTGATTTTGGCATAGCAAGAAAAAGCAGAAGACTCAGTTCAGCCTGCCTGGATTTCTGACCTACAGAATGTGGTCAGAATCTATGGCTGTTGTTTTAACTTACAAAGTTTGTGGTAATTTATGTAGCAATAGAAAATTAATAAATTATCTACCTAATCTATCAATTCATGTATAATATCGTATCTGAACCACTTAAGAATAACTTGTCAATATATCTTCCAGATACAGGGAATCTCCTAAGAATAAGATTACTCTCTTACATAAGAGAGTAAAAAGATAGTTATCAACCTGAACAAATTATCTTTAATGCAGTACTTTTATCAAATCTGTTACCCATATTTCAATTTTTTGCCTAATAGTGTCCTACTTAGTATATTGTTTTCTTCCAGTGAGAATCCAGTCTTAGATTACATACTACATTAGTTATAATGTCTCTTTAACCTAGAGCATGTTCTTAGCTGTTCCTTACATTTTATTGCATTGAAACTTTTGAAGTATACAGTCACCTTTTAAAATAAAGCACTCCTCATTTTGGGTTTCTCTAATGTTTTCTCATAATTAGATTCATTCATTCATTCATAATTAGATTTTACATTCCTAGCTAGAATGTGATGCTACATATAAATGACCATACGTAGTTTTTAGGGTATCACATCAGAAGTTACAGAACATCAATCTGCCCCTCATTGGTGATATTAACTTTGATCATCTGATCAAGGTGTTGCCCTTGACAAAGTATAGCTACTAATTTTTCCCCTGCAACTAATAAGCCATCTGTCAAGAGATAATTTAGAACTATATACATGTTCTGCTCACTACTAAAATTTCTCTCCAATATTTAGCATCTGTTGATGATGCATATGTGGAGTAATAATTCCTTTGATGATTACCAAGTGATGATTATCTAACTCTAGCACTCTCTCCATATTTGCCAATCAGCATCGGTTATTCTGCTGTGAGGAGTAGCCTGCCCCAGCTTCTACACTATTTGTTTATTTTGTATCTATTACTATTGGTACAGACTCAGGTTTTTCTACTCTTTTTTTTTGTACATTTTATAATGTATTATGCTCCTTGTTTTTTTTTTTTTTTTGAGGGCTCAAACGATCTCAATTTTGGCAAATCGGAGTCCCTTCAAGTTGGCTACTATGGATGAAGTAGAAAGTCAGATGATAAGACCAAAAACTTTAAAATTGATCAAATTATTACTGTTTCCTTTCTCCTTTTCTCTAGATTTTGGTAAATTGCCAGGGTGAATTTTTTGTTTATTTCAGAAGATACATACAAAATACTTCTCTTTCTTTATTCTCTTCCAACTCATCAAATGAAAATCACGTCACGGACTTAACCTTATAATTTCTTATGACAAATTTGATGTCTGTACATTCATTGACACCTCTATTAAGCCGTAGACATAGTGAAAAGAATGATTTAGACAGCTTTCTTAATACAAGTATGATGTGGAGATATTATGGGGTGATTTCTGGACCACTGCAATAAAAGGAATATCACAGAAAAGTGAGTCACACAAATTTTTTAGTTTCCTAGTGCATACAAAAATCATGTTTACACTACACTATAGTCTGTTAAGTAAGGGTGTCATAGCATTATGTCTAGAAGAAATGAACATATCTTAATTAGGAATACTTTATTGCTCTTTTAAAAAAGCTAATGATTATCTGTGCCTTCAGCGAGTCATAATTTTTTTTTTTTTTGCTAGTGGAAGGTCTTGCCTTGATGTTCATGGTTGCTGACTAATTAGGGTGATGGTTTCTGAAGGTTGGAATGGCTGTGGCAATTTCTGAAAGGAAGACAACAATGAAGTTTACTACATTGATTGACACCTTTTTTCATGAAAGTTTTTTTCTATAGCATTTTACCCACAGTAGAACTTCTTTCAAAATTAGAGTCAATCCTCTTAAACCTTGCCACTGCTTTATTAACTAAGTTTATGGAATAGTATAAATCTTTGGTTGTTATTTCAACAATGTTTACAACACCTTTACCAGGAGTAGATTTCATCCCAAGAAACCACTTTATTTGTTCATATCTAAGAAATAACTTCTTATCTGTTCAAGTGTTATCATGAGATTGTAATTCAGTCACATTTTCAGACCCCACTTCTAATTCTAGTTCTCCTTCTGTTTACAGCATATCTGCAAGAACTTCCTTTACTAAAGTCATAAACCCCTCGAAATTATCCATGAAGGTTGGGATCAGCTTCTTCCTAACTCATGTTATGTTGATATTTTGACCTCCTCTCACAAATTATAAATGTTCTAGATGGCATATAGAATGCTGAATCCTTTCCAGAAGGTTTTCAATGTAATTTGTGCAGATCCATAGAGGAATCACTATCTATGACAGCTATAGCCTTATTAAATGTATTTCTTAAATAATAAGACTTGAAAGTACAATTACTCCTTGATCCATTGGCTGCAGAATGGATGTAGTATTAGCATGCATGAAAACAACATTAATCTTGTACATCTCCATCAGAGCTCTTGGGTGATCAGGTGCATTGTCAGTGAGAAGTAATACTTGGAGTAAATCTTTATTTCTGAGCAATAGGTCTCAACAGTGGGCTTAGAATATTTAGTAAACCATGCTGTAAACATCTGTGCTGTTATCCAGGGTTTTTTGTTCTATTTATAGATCACAGTCAAAGTAAATTTAGCATAATTCTTAATATATTAATTATTATGCTAATCCCATCCTTAGAAGCCCCTAGGATTTTCAGAATGGTAAATAAGCATTGGCTTTAACTCTAAGTCATCAGCTACATTAGCCCCTAACAAGAGTTTCAGCCAGTCCTTTGAAGCTTTGAAGCCAATCATTGACTTCTCTCTAGTGATGAAAGTCCTAGATGGCATCTCTTCCAAAAGAAGGCTGTTTTTTTGATATTTTACTATATATGTTGTTTATTACAGCCACTTTCATCAATTATCTTAGCTAGCTTCTGGATAACTTGCTGCAGCTTCTACATCAGCACTTCCTGTTTCACCTTGCACTTTTATGTTATGAAGATGACTTCTTTTGTTAAACCTCATAAACCAACCTCTGCTAGCTTCAAAATTTCTTCTACAGCTTCCTCATCTCTCTCAGCCTTCACAGAATTGAAGAGAGTTAAGATCTTTGTCTGGATTAGGCTTTGTCTTAAGGTAATGTTGTGAATGATTTTATCTTCTATCTAGATCACTGAACTTTCTCCATGTCAACCATAAGGCTGTTTCTCTTTTGTATCACTTGCGTATTCACTGGAGTACCACTTTTAATTTACTTTATGAGCTTTTCCTTTGCATTCACAACTTGGTTAATTGTTTGGCACAAGAAGGCTTGCTTTCAGCCTGTCTCAGCTTTTGACATGCCTTCCTTACTAAGCTGAATTATTTGTAGCTTTTGATTGAAAATAAGAAATGTGTGACTATCCCTTTCATTTGAACATTTAGAGACCCTTGTAGGGTTATTAATTGGCCTAATTTCAATATTATAGTGTTCAAAAGAATACAGAGGCCTGAAGAGAGGGAGAGAAATGAGGGAACAGCCAGTTGGTGGAGCAGTCAGAACACACACAACATTTATTAAGTTCGCCATGTTATGTGGGTATGGTTTGTGATGTCTCGAAACAATTACAAAAGTAACATCAAAGATCACTGATCACAGATCATCATAACAAATATAGTAGTAATAATAATAATAATAATCAAAGTTTGAAATACTGTGAGAATTACCAAAATGTAACATAGGACATGAATTGAGCACATGCTCTTGGAAAAATGATGCCAATAGATTTGCTTAACACAGGGTTGCCACAAACCTTCAATTTGTATAAAACACAATATCTTCACAGTGCAGTAGAGAGAAAAACAATAAAATAAGACATGATTGTAATCATAGGGTTTGCAGCTTGCCCAGATAGCTTTTGGAGACAGTAAGTTCTCACTAAAATCAGAGAAGAAAAGGCAGTAAAATCACTGAGAAACAGCAAAGAGCACTGTTGATGGATCCAGGGTTGTACCATGTGTGCTAGAAATTGAGACATGGTTTCATATAGAACTGTCAATGTTCATTGGGCAGTGTTGAAGAATTTTACTGAATTTTTGAGTACAGTAAGTAAGATTTGAAGGGTTGCTTGTACTTAGAAATCAGATCTTGAGGCTGGATTAGAGGCATGGGGGAACCATTTTAGCCTCCCTTATGCTTTTGATGATGTTGATTTTTTTTAATCTCATGGCTACACTTATAAATATAATGCTTATTTTCTTACTCTTAGAGATTTTACCATTGTCGAAAGAGAGGCCATCACAACTACATATTGTGTCACTTAGTTTTGATTCTTAAGTCTAGAACGAACTGAAGAAGAATAAATTAAAGACTATCTGATCTGTGACCATAGGAGAGAGATTGAACCTTTTGAGCACCATTTCCACTATGCAGAGTAATCATGGATTAGAATTAGATATAAAAGCCAATATGAAGTTAACATTTTCCCAAAAGATCCATTAAGATGTAGAGACCTGAATTTATTGTAAAGATTCCATCCTTAGAAGCCATGTGTGAAAAACAGGATGTTAATAATAGTTGTTATTTCTAAATTATTTAACTATGTACAAACACAGGATAATTTTAATTTGCATTAAAGCATTTAATCCTTAACCTTACAAGGTAGGTACTATTATTACCCTTACCTTACAGAAGAGAAAGCCGAGTTAATTACCTTGCTCAAGGTCCCACAGCCTAATGGTTGGAGTTAAAGTTAGAACTCAAGAAGTTTGATTCTGTACTACTTCATCATATTAGCTTATTATAATCTCATACATACAGTCATAATTCACTTGATGGTAATATGTTCTGAGAAATGCATCATTAAGCAGTTTCAGTATTGTGTGTGTTCAGTAGCCTATAACATTTAGATTCATGTAAGTACATAGAGTGGTACTCATGTAAGTATACTCTATGTACTTACATGAATCTAAATGTTATAGGCTACTATACACCTAGGCTATATGGTACAGTTTATTGATCCTTGGCTATATATCTGTACAGCATATTACCGAACTCAATACTGGAAGCAATTGTAACACCGTGATAAGTGTTTGTGTTTCTAAATATACCTAAACATATAAAAGGTAATATGTTGTGTTATGTCATTATGACAGCTACAACATCATTAGATACTATGAATTTTTCATCTCTATTATAAACTTATGAGGCCATCATCATATATGTGGTCTATTGTTGACAGAAATGTCATTGGGTGATGTATGACTATATTTTAAACAATGGCTCCCTAGTGATTCATCTTGAGGCTCTAAATCAAGGAGTAAACATCAAAATTTGAAATATATACAAGTATCTAAGGAAACGGAATGAGGGAATGATAGTTTAATGAAAGAATGCTGGCAGCTAAGGACAGATTGCTTATCATTCATTTATAGCTGAAAAGAAATCAGGCAACATATTAGGTGCATAGTAGAAGGAAAATTGAGATAAAAGATTACTGTCTTTCCTGAATTGTGATAAATCATTTGATGTTGAAAATATAAAAATGGAACCAAAATTAATGGTGGGTGTTAACAGAACGACGTTTTCAAATGATTGAATAGAACTACAGGCTAGGAATCTGAAACAATACACAGTGTAATAGAAACTACAGTTTTTGAATCTTTGAAAGAGCTAAAGCAGACACTGTGTCCCAAAATAAAAATCTGCATGAAAATGAATCTTTTTTTTTTTTTTTTTTTGAGCTGGAGTCTAGTTCTGTCACCAGACTGGAATGCAGTGGTGTGATCTCGGCTCACTGCAACCTCCACCTCCTCGGTTCAAGCGATTCTCCTGCCTCAGCCTCCTGAATAGCTGGGATTACAGGTTCATGCCACCATATCCAGCTAATTTTTTTATTTTTAGTAGAGTCGGGGTTTCACCATGTTGGCCAGGATGGTCTTGATCTCCTGACCTTGTGATCTGCTCACCTCGGCCTCCCAAAGTGCTGGGATTACAGGCGTGAGCCACCGTGCCCGGCCAAAAATGAATCTTAATATCTAAACTTAGAAGGTAACTTTCCTTAAAAAGCAAGAAAATACAGATCCCAGAAAATTACAACTAACTCAAACATTAGAAGATAATTTTTTGTCTTTATTTAAACCATAACAAGCAAACAAAACTCATAACTGTGATGATTTTATTATTAGAATTGCATCCTTTCTTCTGTCTCACACATGTAGCCATTTTCTTCCTGCTGCTGGGCAGAGTTGTGAGAAATAGGAGTAAGCAATAAAATTTATCATAAGAAAAATAACACTGGGTGAAACTGCTAAAGTGCTTAGCTTCCCTGTGATTTGGAGGTTCAAACCATATAAAACTCAAGTTTCATGTATGCTGCCAAAATCACTATAAGGCTGATAGGTAGCAAAATGTGAAGTGTGTAAGAAATTTGGGTTGAGAAGAGGTCATTCTACATCCTTTCACACCATCTCTGATTGTATTTTACCTCAAGGCTTCTTCTCCCTGACCCTCGTCCCACCAGTCTGGATTCAATTCATGGGCAAATTGAAATCACTGATAACAGCTTGAAACATCACTTACTCTGCTTGTATTCATATGCATAACTGTATACTTGGTGTACATATGACTGCTATGTTTACTTCTGAATTGCAGCAAGCTCATTAACTAGTAATCAGTGAATGTGCCAATAATGATCCTAATGCCTATCATATATTGAGCATTTTCTAAGGCCAAACACTATAATGAGAATTTGCATAATACGTCTCATTAATCACGCTTTCTTTCTGATAATTATAATTGTTTCATTAAAGCTTTGCATGGTCAAGTTACTAGCTCACTGTCACACAGCTAGTTAATGACATAACTCAAGCCCAACCCCAACTACGAAGATTGTGTTTATAAATGCAACATACTGTGGCACTCTCATTAATAGTAATTCATCTTCCAGAAAAAAATGCATATAGCATGTTTGTGTTTGTGTGTCTGTGTATATATTATACATATAACCATGTGTATAGGCAGATGTATGTATACATAAATGTGTACACATACAAAATTGTATATATGTATATCTAAATACACACACAGTTAACCCTTGAGTTTCAGGGTCCACTTATAAGCAACTTTTTTCAACCAAATTCACATCAAAAACACAGTATTCATGGGATCTGAAACCCACATGTAGGGAGGGCTGCCATTTTGTTTATGCAGGTTCTGCAGGGCCAACTGTGAGACTTGATTGAGTATGTGCTGATTTTGGTATGGGGTGGCACTGGGTATGGGCGATCCTGGGATCAATTCTCTGAGTCTTTGGAGGGATGATTGGAGAGAGAAGAAGAGAGACAGAGAGAGAAGGAGAGAGAGAGAGAAACCTTGGCATGTAGGTTTTAGGTATGCATGGGAAATATGTAAGTCTGGAAAAAGTTACTTGTTTTTATTATCTCAAATCATGACTAAATGTATCATGAAAGAAAGCTATTTACTCATTCAATTTTATCTTGTGCAGTCTCTACAAAGAACACAAATTTTCTACTACAGATGATCCCCAACTTTTCATGATTCAACTTAAGATTTTTTTGACTTAATGATGATGCAAAAGTGATACTCATTCAGTAGAATCTGTACTGGGAGTACCCATACAACCATTTTGGTTTTTTACTTCCAATACAATATTTAATAGTCACATGAAATATTCAAGACTTTATTATAAAATAGGCTTTCTGTTAGATGATTTTTCCAAGCTGTTGGCTGATGCTAGTGTCTTGAGCATGTTGAAGGTGGGCTAGACTGAGCTATGATGTTCAGTAGGTTAAGTGTATTAAATGCATTTTCAACATAAAGAAATTTTCAATTTACAATGGTTTATCCAGACATAACCCCACTGTAAGTCAAGAAGCATCTGCATATTTCCAAAGAAGGTATTTAGTTGAACTTGCATTATTTATTTTTTTAATCTACAGCTATCTAGTAATAGCTTCAACCCAACTGAGTATATTTATGTAGGACCTTCTGAAACTGGAAATTAGTATTAGGTACAAATGAATTACATTTAAAATGCATGCACTCTTTGAATTTATTTTTTTGAAACTTGTTAAATAAGTGAATAGGGGAATTTGCATTCATACGTGCAAGAGAGAACATCTGGAATTATTGCGAGCAGTGGTACAGGAAGGGCAGTCTTGGACTGCGATGATTTACGAACTGTTACTAGCTCACGAGATACACTTAGAAGATGAGAGTAAACGTTTAGAAATTTATTGAAATTAACATCGCCATGATATAGATATGTGATCATTTTTCTAGTAATTTATTTTTATTATATTTTCAAAAACATCAGTACACCAAAGGTGTAAACTGAAAAACAAAGTAAAACAGAAATAGATTGAGTCTTCACTGCAGAGTTAATAAAGTACAAAATAGAAATTTATCCCCAAATAAGGGTCCACTTGAAATATCCAAACTATAGAATGTTTTTATTATATATGTTATTTAAATTTTCTGAATAAATGTATCATTTTCATTGTTTTCTCTAAGAAATAGCTTTATGCACATAAAAATAAAATTTTTACTTTCTGCCCATCAAATCTCCTTGGCCTCTTCTCCACTCAATTTTCTGAGAAAAAATAATTTTTATTTCAATATTAAAAAGAGCTATCATTACCCATGCTTCACAGCTTCTTCTGAATCTAATTCAAATCTGCATCATAGTGTCAGGAGATCAGAGAACTAGCTCTTGTCTAATTCACAAGCTCTTTTGCAATTTAAAACTTTAGAGACATCAAGGACACAGAGTTCACAGAGAAAATTAACCAGCGTCTTGTGAATAAAGCATTGACATAAACCACGCAGCAATATAAAATTGAGTTAAGCAGTTGGCAGAAAGTCAGTAACATCTTAGTGAGTTGAAAAATTCCAACTGATTTGTGGCATCATTCTGAGCTCTAGGCATTAGTTATTGTATTTTTAAAAATGTTTATTTATATAATTATTATTTTGTCTTGTTACAAAAGTATTACTTAATTATCATACAAAAAATTTAAATCATAGAAAGCTGTAATGGTAAATGTATATCAAATGTTCTATTAACCAAGGGTAACTGCTTACAAGATTGTATTAAATCTTAAGTATTTCTTCTTTGTCATTTGGTGTTATTTGTGTACACAAACTTTGATAGTGATTTTTTAATCTGCTACCATATAGCCATTTTTTTCTCATGTAATTTGGAATTTTTAAAGAACATAGTTGTAAAGATCTGCTGGTATTTCATAATATTTTAAAGAATTTCCTCATTGTTGAACATTTATTTTTCTATTTTTTTATAAAAATTGTAGCAACATTATTATATACATATTTGTCTGTATTTCTGATTATTCTATATCATTTATCTGTAAAGCAGTATAGTTTTATTGAATTATAGTTATTCCCTATTAAAATAGTTTATTTTATGTTCTTGAAAGCTATATATTTTATTTAAATATTATACGTATAATATTTTATTTTATTCAAGTACTTATAATACAGTTTGCTTCATTACAAAATAAATATACATTTTTAAATTCAACTCTTAATATTTAAACTGTTAACATAATAATAAAAGCATAATACATAAATGCATATTTTAAGATATCTAATACTTCTGTTCACAACCAAGACTCTCATAAAATATATAAAATTTTAAATTGTTTCTGTTTTCAGTTCTTGTGATTATCGCTATAATGCTTAATAATATTCTTTTATATTTATTTCTTTATCTGTGAATGTATGGCATTTTCTATAGATTCTTGCTATGATACATGAAAATTTCCCTCTCTTATGCTCCCCTTAGTTACTTCCTCTATTTCTGATAGTTACATTGTTATGTTTTCTTTTAAAATTATATCTAAAACTCTGTACAATATAATTACATCATCTTTTCTTATACCCTCCCTAGTAGCTAGTTTCATGGCTCCAAAAGATGTGATTATTCATGTTTACAATTCCACCATGTTTTTCACTGGGTTAAATTTTATGCCTTTGGTCCTTTGTACTTTTACAAGGATTAGGAGGTTATATTTCATTCCGTATTCACAATTTAGTTTTCTGAGCTTTCTCTGCATGTTGCTTCTAGGAAATTTCAAATAGAAAGGAATATTTTATTATTTATGAGATAGTATGAGATAATAAAGATACTGAATGCATGCAAAAATATATAAGATATATTCAAGGATGTCTGACATCTGACACACATGAGTTGCAAGAAGAGAAGAATAAGCAGATGGGCTAGAAGAAAGGGGAGACAAGGAAGAAAAATATCAAGAGTTAAAATTGACAGGTGTCTATAATTTTTTTTTTTCAAAATTGTTAGTTTTGTAGGCCCCCTGTATTTCTGTTAGAAATTTAAAATAATTTTGTCAACTTCTAAAAAAAATGAAGCAAAACCTATGAGGATGTTGCTTGAAGTTGCACTGAATTCACAGACAAATTTGGGAAGAACTGACAACATTGAGTTTCTTGTTCCACAGACATGGTCATTGTCTCCTCTTATTTTTTAAATTTCTCTGGAAGAATTTGGCAGTTTTCAGTGTATAGGTCTTACTTATCTTATGGAAGATATATCCTTAAACATTCAATATTTTTAGTGCCATATTAAATGGTATTTTAAAATTTTAAATTTTTATTTATTTGTTGCAAGTGCATAGAAATATTATTGATATTAGAATATAGATCTTAAATGCTATAACTTTTCTAAACTCACTTACTAGTTCCAATAGTTAATTCATAGATTCCATAGAAGTTTCCACGTTGGCAATTGTGTAATATCTAAATAAAGACAATTTTATATCTTTCTTTCCAGTTTTGATGCCTTCTATTTTCTTGTCTTATTGCACTGCCTAGAATCCCCAGGAAGATGTTATATAAAAGTGGTAGGAGCAGACATTCTTGTCTTGTTTCTGATACTAAAGGGAAAAATTGTCTCATTGTTAAGTACAATTTTAGTAGTAGAATTTTGCTGCATGGCCTTTATGAGGCCTAGGAAATTATCTTTCATTTCTTCCTGGTTTTTCTCAGGGTTTTAAAATCAAAAATAGCCTTTATATTTTAGAATAATTTCTTAAAATTTACTACGATTATTTGTTTAACCTTTTAGGGCATCTTTTTTATTGGACAGAAATACAAGTTAATATTTACCTCTCACAAAAAATAACAGAAATACAAGTTAATATTTACCTCTCACAAAATCAAAGACACGTGCCTTTCCACACAGGCTAGAAGATAGGATCTCTATCTGCCTTGATGACTACATTTTTTAAAATGGCTGCCTGATTCTTGAGAAAGATATTCCTACACCATAAAACTGTTAAGAATCTTTTTAAAAAATTGTATGTTCTTAACAGGACATAGAAATAATTTACAAGTTTTCTAAAGTAATGCTCCAAGAGAGGAGAAATTGGAGGCCTTGACTCAGGAAGAAGACTGTATAATATGGTCAAGGTGGGGGGTACATTCAGGCTGTCTTGTTCAAAATGAAATATTCCTTGATGGGGCTTGTTAAGCAACGTTCCTATAACATGTTGAAAAGGCATAATGTCTTTTTGATTTAAAAGTTTTGGATAGGGTTTCTTAGCATGAGGTATTTCAAAAAATCACGTAAGTTTCTGTGCCCAGGGTGGTGACAGGGTGACATGGTAATGCTGGTAGTGATGAGTAGTCCCATTTTAAAAAAAAAACTGAAGGTGAGCAAGCAGCATTTTTTTACAAATGTGGGATGTTAGAAAAAGAGCAGAGTCAATAACGACACTGAACCTTTTTTTTTTTTTCTTTTTTTGAGCAATGGGAAAAGTGGAATTTTCATTATTGTTGGTTTTATGGAGTCAGTCATCAGACTAGCAAACAAACTCCATCAACTCTTACAGAATATAAGGTTTCTTTTTCCCGCTGTGGTTATGTTAGTCACCAGGACTATTTTCTTCTTCCCATTTCATATCTGTCTAATGCTTAGCTTTTCTTTAGAAACCTGCTTTTATGCTATCATTTCAATAAAATCATTCCTGGTATTCCTAGACAGATACGGTGATGTCAATACTATTGATGTTATTGCTGTTGCTGAAATTTTGGCACCGTGCTTGGTTCTGTACTAAGGCCTATACATGAGTTATCTAATATAATCTTTATAGCAATTTGATAAGTCATTATTTATTTGTTTTCACAAATGCAAAAGTGAGGGGTTAGAGGTGTTACTCTTAGAGATAAAGGCACAAAGTTAGAGATGGTGGTACTGATAGATAAATTCATTTCTGTCTGGCTCCAGAGGACCAATCCCTTAAACTTCTAGATAATGAATTAAATGCAATTATTGATGAATGACTATTTGTTCTGTTGCCTGTGTTTAGTTTCCCCTGAAGTAATTGCATTTGTAATTTAATTAATCCTGTGCATCCATCCTTTATTTTTCCCAATTACCCCTGTGGTTACTGTTGCTATCCACCCTTCAGTTCTTTCTGTTTTATAATTCTCTACTGGATCATTTTTGAAAGAAAGATTGTTTCTTTATTCCAAAAAATGTAGCAGTGTCCCATAGCAAATTATGAATATAAAGCAAGTGGGTTTTATTAAAGGTCATATTTACCTAACTTTTTTTATCTACTCACATTGCTCATTATCTTAAGTATTTATTTATTGACTTGTGTTAATACAGTTTTCATAATAAGAATAGTACACTGTACTAGAAAAGCAAGGAGGAACTTAAACATAATTTCGTACATCCTTCTACCCAAAGGAAAATTCCTTTTATACTCCCCCGTCAAAATCCCACTTTATCTCTGATTAATTATGACAGTGAAGGGAAAAACGGAGTGGCTCAAAGCAGTCAATTTTATTGTTGAATGAATATATCTTTTCAAATGTTAACCCTAATAGTTAGCTGAAATCTTTCTCTTTGTAACTTTTCAATTAGAGCTTCTAGTTCTACCCTTTTAAGACATAAAAGTAAATTTAAGAATCATACCTTGAGCATGTCACATGCCCAAACACCTTAAGATGTCCATCCTGTACCTCTCAAGATTACTTTTGCCAGGATAACTCTTACCAATATACTCTGCTGACATCCATCTTCTACCATCTCAGTGGGCTCAAGTCGTTTTTCCCCAGCAAGATGCAGGAGAAATATTCATTGCTATGGGCTGCCATATGAAAAAGAAACAAGCCAATTTACAAAAGTCATCAGGATGATGACAGTTCCTAAATAATCCTTCCATGTATTGATTCTATTAAGTAGATTATAGATACATAAACACTTGGTTAATTGATATTAATCACCAATAGATAGTGTCCCCGATGTTGTTCATGTTATGGGTTCTCTATAGTTTGATAGACAAGTTATATCCTACCTCATTTGATCTCTTCCTTTGTCTTCTGCTCAACCAATTGTACACTCTGGCAGTCTTTCTTAGTATTGGAGTTAGTAAAGATCTTCTATCCATCTTAAATACTCTTTTTTGTGGTAGTTTTTTAATTAATGGCATTAGTATGAAATAATCTTATACCTTGGTTAACTTGGAAGGGAACTATAAAGTTCATTTTTAGCTGAAACTCCTACTACACATACAGTCGATTCTCATCATTCACCAAGTAATGTTCTAGAAGGTTACTGTGGATACTGAATTAGAAAATGCTGACCCATTGCTCTTAGGAGAAATACAGAGTTATATTTATACAAGCCTCTGGTCACATTTTTATTAATTGAAATGCCATTTACATTATATAGATTCATTTGCCAACAAGGTCTTTCCTTATAAACCATCCAGTCTTTTTATTGTTGGAAATCTACTCTTCCGTAAAACCCTTTTCCTGAATAACAACACTTAGCAGGTATTTTAAAGATTCTACTACAGTCTACTGACTTGCAGAATCTGCCTTATCTGTAAGTTGAACATTTTTCATGCTCTATCTCCTTTTGAAATGTGCAAGCCAGCAAGCCAGCACCAGTTGCCAGTAGTTTAACATTTTCCCGACCCTGGGTAATGTAACCATAAATTTTTTTTGGCTTTCAGCCTTACAATAATGCTATCAAATACCCTTTTTAAAAATGGGTCATCACCTCATGAATCCACAAATTTAGCTGCTTTCCCATCTTTTAAGTAAGTTTACTATGCACTGTAGACGTTGCCTTACTTTCTGGAGCAGTCTCACACACAGATTGGTAAAATTTGTCTACATTTTTCTATATGTACCATCTTGTTGATTCACTAACATTGAACTCACAGCCAACAGCACTATAATTCATGCTTGAATGAAGTTTATCTAACATGAGTATTTTTCCTGTAAGCTATATAACAGCTTTTTTGTATAAGTAATGCTACACAGCACTTTAGCACTACACTTAGGGGCCATCTTAGACAGTTAAATCACTAAAAAAAGGGTAAAAAATATGATAAGTGAGGAACTAAATAGACTATGAAAAATAGAGTTGCTTACAGTATAAGGAGTGAAACAAGAAGGCACAACAATGTTTTGGATGGCCTAGGCTGGGAAGGTCCCCATCTGCCAACACAAGTTTTGCTGCTTTGCACATGTCCGTGAATGACCCCAAAGTGCCTCAAGTATTGATTTGGGGGTTACAAATAAATTTTAGTGAGTAGATGAATTTTTCAACATGGAATCCATGAATAATGAGACTCAACAGTATTAGAGTTAAAGGACACGAACCTTTTGAATGAAAGAGCACACTCAATGGTCAGCACAAAACACCTCACTATATTAAGCCATACCCATAGAAATAGAAAAACATACCGTGTTCATGGATCAAAATAATTAATATTATTGAAATGTCCACATTACTAAAAGTGATCTACAAATTCATTTCTATCCATATCAAAATCGCAAAAGCATTTTTACAGAAATAAAGAAATACTAAAATTTATACAGAAGCACAAGACCCTAAATAGGCAAAGCAATTCTGAACAAAAAGAACAAAGCTGGAGAAACAAAAGCTACTGATTTCAAACTATAGTACAAAGCTACAGTAATCAAAATAAAATGATACATAAAAAACAGACATATAGAACAACAGAACAGAATAAAGAGCCAAGGAATAAACCAACACACATATTGTCAGGTCATCTTCTACAAGGGTGCCAAGAATAAGCATTGGGAAAGCAATAGTCCCTTAAATAAATGGTATTGGGAAAACTGGATTTCCACATGCAAAAGAATAAAATTAGTAACTTATCTTACATCGTACACAAAAATAAACTCAAAATAAAGACTTAAGCATAAGACCTGAAGCCATTAAACTCCCAGAAGAGAATATAGGGGAAAATCTATTTCACATAGGCTTTGGCAATTATGTCATTGATATGACACCAAATGACACAAGAAACAAGATTGAAAATGGACAGAGGGACTGTATTAAATTAAAAACTTCTGAAGAGCAAAGAAAATAAAACAAAAACGCAGCCTATGGGATGGGAGAAAATATTTGCAAATCAAACATTTGATAGTTAATATCCAAAATATGTGAAAAACTTCTACAACTCAATCACAAAAATAATAATCTGATTTAAAAATCAGCAAGGGACCTGAATAGACATTTCTCCAAAGAAGACAGATAAACATCCAACAGGTGCATGAAGAGGTGCGTACCATCACTAATCATCAGGGAAATGCAAATTAAAACCACAATGAAATATCACTTGTTAGGACGGGTATTATTAAAAATGTAAGAGATAATAAGTATTGGTGAGGGTGTGGAGAAAAAGAAATCTTTGTACACTGTTGGTGAAAATGTAAATTGGTGCAGCCACCATGGAACATAGTTGGAAGTTCCTCAAAAAAATAAAAGTAGAACTACCGTGAGATCTAGCAATCCTACTTCTGGATATATATTCAAAAGAATTGAAATCAGGATTTTGAAGATATATCTGTATACCCATGTTCATTTAAGCATTATTCACAAAAATCAAGACATGAAAGCAACCTAAGTGTCCATTGACAGATAAATGAATAATGAAAATCTGATATATACATACAGTGGAATATTTTTCAGCCTCCAAAAAGAAGTAAATCCTTGTCTATGCAACAACATAGATGAACCTGGAGGACATTATGCTGAGTGAAGTAAGCAAGTCACAGAAGGACAAATACTATATGATCCAACTTATACGAGGGGTCTAATGTCAAACTCATAGATGCAGAGAAGGGAATAGTGGTTGCTAGGGACTAACGCGAGGGAGAAATGCAGAAGTATTAATCAAAGGGTATAAAGTTTCAGTTATGTAAGTTAAGTAAGTCTTAGAGATCTATTGTACAGCATAATGCGTATAGTTGATAATACTGTATTGTATACTTAAAAATTGCTGAGGATAGATCTTGTGTTAAGTATTCTTGTCACAATAATATAATAACAATAATAATAAAGGGAGCAGGAGGAAACTTTTAGAGGTGATGGATATGTTTATGGCATAAATTGTGGTGATGGTTTCATGGGCTTATACTTATCTCCAAATCCAGTAAGTTATATATATCACATATGTACAGTTTAGTGTATGTCAATCACACCTCAGTAAAGTAATTTTTTAAAAAAGTCAACCAATGACAGATTGTTGTGAAATTTTAGAACATTACTGTACGAGGTGATTCAAAAAACCTTCCAGATAGTGAAAAATACATTTTCATCTAGAAGGTTATTTAGATAATTTTCTCATGACAGTAACTAGAAAGGACGCATGAATGAACTTTAAAAAAATCTCTCATTGGAAACCTAAGAAGATAAGAAGGAATTAGCCCAACCTGGAACAAAGAGTTAGAATAAACCAATAAGAGAGAGATGACCAAATAGAAATATGGCACTTCACATAAAAAGAAATCCAAATAGCCAATGAAATAAATTAAAAAGCTGTTCAATTTCATTTGTAACCAGAGTTGCTGTTTCTTTATGAGGATGTGGAACAATGGGATATCTTATACATTTCTCTATGATCGTGTAAATCTCTAGCCTGGTAAACACTTTGGCATTATCTAGCTAAATGGAAGTAATATGTAGGTTATGATCCAACTGTTTCACTCCTGGATGTAGATGAGAGAGGAAGTCATATACATGCATACCTAGGTAGACACAGAAGAATGTTCGCAGCAGCATTGTATGACACACAAGACCAGGAATCAACAGAAGTGACTATCAAATAATAAATGAATAATTTATAGCACAGTCATTCAATGGAATACTGTACAACAATGAAAACAAATTATTAATTCAGAAATAAAGAACCACAACCAAAAACCACATAATTTGAGTCAATATGTATTCAATTCCAAAGCAGAAAAACTAAATGATATCTTAAGGAAACACAGAAAAATTATAAAATATAAATAACTTCAATGTAAATTTTATACTTGTAACTATAGTATTACCTCTAGGGGGCAAAAGAGGTTTATAATCAGAGTTCTGGTCTATATTTTGATGCAGTTATAAGGATGTTGACTTTATGCATTTATTACTCTTTGTGATTTATTTTAAATATTTTTGTGTGTATATTGGATTTTATTATTTTAAAAAAATTAATGAAATTTCTTATAAAATGCCCATTCATTTACTCTTCTGAAAGGAAAAATCTATTTAAAAAAAGAGAGTTTAAAAAATATAACTCTCTTTAAAAACATAATTCAAGTTGTTCAACTGAATTATATTAAAGTAACTGGAGGTATATAAATAAGCCTAAAATTTGGGTGTAAATGTTATAAAAGAACAATTTAAATGTTCAAAAATTTAGGAGAATAGAAATAATAATAAACTTTCAAACACAGTATTGAGAAGTGGGGGCTAAAAAATTAGAAATAATTGTTAACAATGATAATTTTCTCAACTTCCATACCTCACAGTCAATAACTGATGTAGGTAATCTAAACATGGAATCCAAAAAGTAGATTCTTCAATATTCTACGGCTGCATCCTTCATAACTTTAGAAATATTTTATTTCAGAAACTACCATATTTTTGTGAAAAGATATTCAGAAAACTTGTCACTTCCGTCATTTTCTTCAGTTTTATTTAAATTAAAAGTTAATATTTTAAAAGTGGAAATAATATGTGTTTTATGATATTATATAAAAATAACTTCTACATTCACATATGTGTGGAAAGAAGCCTATAATGCTCACTTTCAGGGGTATTAAATTATCTAATAGTGGTTTTGTTGTGGTCTTCCCTCTCCGACTCTTTGTATCTTTCAATAGGGTCTTAAAAATGAACTAATATTTAATAAAGTTTGGCACCTACCTTGACAGCATAAAGTTTTTATATTATATTTTAAGTAAAACATACAACTATACATGCTTATATATGAATATACACTATATATGTTTATTATGTTTTATATATAGGAAACTTTTAGCAGTGATGGCCCTTTTTAAGAGGATTTAAGGACAAAGAATGGCAAAAATTGACAGATCATAAGAGTAATTGAAGGAAAAGCCTTCAAATTTAAAAGACTACCAAAACAACCCATGCAACACTGGTATCTACCATCTGATCTACTTAATTAATTTGCCTGTAGCAAGAGGCTCAAGACTGTACATTGCAAAAATTGTTATAAATGTCTTGATTTCCATTAATTTATATTTTTTATTTTTACAAAAACTGTATATAGAGATATATTAGAATATTTGTCTACAAAATATATACCTGATATAGAACATTCATTTGAACATATCTCTATGTGTACATAGAATATACATGTTTTTATACATATATAGAATATGTGCATTTGTATATATAATTTTTAGAAAAAAAAATAATATTTTAGCTAACATAAAATAAGTATCTATTTGGTTAATATAGAGTAACTTAGTTGGTGGATTGAAGAAAAAAACTTTCTAGTCATATGATTCTGAGAAAAGCAGAGAAAAGAGTGAGGATAAAAATTATAACTTAGATGAGAGACATGAACCAAGATCACAGCTGGATTCCAACTACAGCGGTCTCTCAGGTATTACTGTTTTGATTTTTTTTTTTTTTCATTTTTTTTCCTTGTGTGATGCCTTTTAATTCTTACATTGGACCACTTGGTTAGATCATTTTTTATTTTACAGATATTTCTCTGATATTTCCATTTCTTTGTTACAATTAGTTCCCATCCCTTCTAAAGAATATTAATTTCATAATTTCTTCAAGTTTTCTGGAGGACGTTCCCTTGTTTTCTATTCACTTTTCATTAACATGCTATTCATGCTGTATGAATTGAATATATTTTAAAAATTCTCTGAGGATGCTTCCCAGGATTTTCTCTCCAAATTCTCCTCTTTTCATTGGAAAAACCTGTGGGGGTACTCCGTGTTCTGGGTGGGCTTTCCTCTTAATGAACTTCACTTCTGTGTCAGTAGTTGGGGAACTGGCCTCTGTGCAGACACTTTCCAAATTCCAGAAATGTGAGGCCTTTGTTGGGAAAATATCCATCTTTCTTTGAATAGAAGCTTTCACTCACCCTATTTTGCCTCGGAGGAAATTATTTAACTCCTTAGATATTTTGCATTCTCAAATGGGGAGAAGTATGGGACTGAGGTCCACTTTTCCACACCATGGATCTCCAAGTCTCATCCCACTGCCTTTAGTCCCTGGATAGTCTGATCCTGAGGCTTCTTGCGTTTCTGCTACATCAGCTTGCACCTTCTGGATTATATCCTCTGCCTTCACTAGCTCAAAGCTAAGTTTTTCTCAGGCTGGCTTTGCTAACTATTAATATTATTATTCATTTTTAATTAATTATTTTGTTGCCTTCTAAAAATGTATTTTCCTTCTACTGATGGTACTCTTCTCATACTCTTCTTAATAAGATATTTCTATCTTTTTGGACTTTTTCGTTATTGTTGTTGTTGAGACGGAGTCTAGCTCTGTCGCCCAGGCTGGAGTGCAGTGATGGGATCTCAACTCACTGCAAGCTCCGCCTCCCGGGTTCAAGCCATTCTTCTGCCTCAGCCTCCTGAGTAGCTGGGACTACAGGCACCCGCCACCACGCCCGGCTAATTTTTTGTATTTTTAGTAGAGACGGGGTTTCACCGTGTTAGCCAGGACGGTCTAGATCTCCTGACCTCGTGATCCGCCCGCCTTGGCCTGCCTAAGTGCTGGGATTACAGGCGTGAGCCACCGCGCCCGGCCCTTTTTGGACTTTTTTTTTTTTTTTTTTTTTTGAGACGGAGTCTTGCTTTGTCACCTAGGCTGGAGTGGAGAGGCGCGATCTCCGCTCACTGCGAACTCCGCCGCCCGGGTTCATGCCATTCTCCTGCCTCAGCCTCTCGAGTAGCTGGGACTACAGGCACCCGCCACCACACCTGGCTAATTTTTTGTATTTTTAGTAGAGACGGGGTTTCACCGTGTTAGCCAGGATGGTCTCATCTCCTGACCTCGTGATCCGCCCGCCTCCGCCTTCCAAAGTGCTGGGATTACAGGTGTGAGCCACCGCTCCCGGCCCTTTTTGGACTTTTAAACTATAATTTTTTGGTAGTATTAGGACAGAGAAGAAGAAAAGCACATTTGTTCTCACTTCCACTTTTTACCGGCAGCTCTGAGATGGAGAGGTTCAATGTGCTCTGCAAGAAGCTGAAGGTGGGTAAGTCTCTGGAAGCTGGACATAGGTGGATAGTAAAGACCACCTCGAATACTTGAAATGTGTGTTCCAAGATCATGTAAATCACCTGACCTGGGGAAGAGATAACTGACATGCATTATACTTCAGAATGTAGGTTTGGAAAAGGTAGATAAGAGCTAGTAGAACAGTGGAGGCTGGCTCCAACTTAGCATTTATTTGACTCAACCCCTAGAAGCCTGATAATACTTTTAAAAAAAATATGGACATATGATCCGAAATGCTAATCAGCTTTTTCTAGTGAGATGCGTGTTTTTGTAGAATGAAACCACAGATTTGTACTTGATATTTTTATCTGACTAATACTAACTTTATTTTGTTAACAAAATCTACACATGCCATAAACTCAGATAAGAACGACCTCCAAACTGTTAGAGTGCTCAGGACCGTAAGTTAGAATTGGATGAAATGAGCACATAAGTTTTCCATTGTATCATCATTTTCCCACCAAGAAAAAAAAATAGAATTAAAGCTTTTCTCTTTGTCAGCTTGTCATCTGGGTAAAGGAAGAGGAGGTTGAGCCTTAATAATATGATGGGAGGGATACATTGATTCATATTCATAATGAGATGTGGTTGTAAAAATTTTTACCCAGTTAATTAATATGTCAGTCAAAATAAGGGAAGGGATTTAGATAAAAGTAATAGCTTAAAAAATTTCTACAGCAGAAAAAGCCATTAAATATTATGATTAAAAACAAAATAACCACTGGCTGCAACATTTCTTACCTTGGTATGGCAGAAAAATAATGTGTTAGAAATAGGAAAACCTTAAGGTACATTAAAAGTATGTATAGTGAACAATGGCTGATGTTGAGTTTCTGTTAGTCTATATTTATGCAAGTCTATATTTATGTTAACACTCTGCCTATATTTATACAAGTACCATTCTGTTTTTGTGACTATGGCCTTATAGTTTGAAATCAGGCAGAGTGATGCCACTAGATTTGTTCTTTTTGCTTAGTCTTGCTTTGGCTATGTGGGCTCTGTTTTGGTTTCAAATTAATTTTAGAATTTTTTTTTCTAATTCTGTGAAGAATTATGGTGGTATTTTGATGGGGATTGCATTGAATTCATAGATTGCTTTTGGCAGTATGGTCATTTGCACAATATTGATTCTACCCATCCATAAGCATGGGATGTGTTTCCATTTTTTGTGTGTCATCTATGATTTCTCTCAGCAGTGTTTCATAGCTTTCCTTGTAGAAATATTTTGATTCTTTGGTTAGGTATATTCGTAAGACTTTCATTTTTTTGCAGCTATTGTAAAAGGGGTTGAGTTCTTGATTTGATTCTCTGCTTGGTCACTGTTGGGTATAGAAGAGCTACTGATTTATGTACATTAATCTTGTATCTGGAAACTTTGCTGAATTCTGTTATCAGTTCTAGGAGCTCTCTGGAGAAGTCTTCAGGGATTTCAAGATAAATGATTATATAATCAGCAAACAGTAACAGTTTGACTTTTTCTTTACCAATTTGGATGCCCTTTATTTCTTTCTCTTGTCTAATTGCTCTGGCTAGGACTTCCAGTACTACGTTGAAGGGGAGTGGTGTAAGTGGGCATCCTTGTCTTGTTCCAGTTTTCAGGGAAAATGCTTTCAACTTTTCCCCATTCAGTATTATGTTGTCTGTGGGTTTGTCATAGATGGCTTTTATTACGTTGAAGTATGTCCCTTATACACCAATTTTGCTGAGAGTTTTAATCATAAAGAAATGCTGGATTGTGTCAAATGCTTTATTCTGCATCTATTGAGATGATCATGTGATTTTTGTTTTTAATTCTGTTTATGTAGTGTATCACATTTATCGACTTGCATATGTTCAATGATCCCTGCATCTCTGGTAGGAAACCCACTTAATCATGGTGGATTATCTTTTTGATATGTTGTTGGATTCGATTAGCTAGAATTTTGTTAAGGACTTTAGCATATATGTTCATCAAGGATATCGGTCTGTAGTTTTCCTTTTTGGTTATGTCCTTTCCAGATTTTGGTATTAGAGTGATGCTGGCTTCACAGAATGAATTAGGGAGGGTTACTTCTTTCTCTATCTTGTGGAATAGTGTCAAAAAGATTGGTACCAATTATTCTTCGAAAGGCTGGTAGAATTCCGCTGTGAATCCTTTTGGTCCTGGACTTTTTTTGTTGGTAATTTTTTAATTGACATTTCAATAACTCTTGTTATTGGTCTGTTCATGTGTCTAATTGTTCCTAATTTAAGATAGGAGGTTTGCATTTTTCCAGGCGTTTATCCATGTCGTCTAGGTTTTCTAGTTTATGCACATAAAGGTGTTCATAGTAGCCTTGAATTATCTTTTATTTCAGTTGTGACAATTGTAATATCTCCTGTTTTATTTTTTAATGATGTTATTTGGATTTTCTCTTCTTTTCTTGGTTTATCTTGCTAATGATCTATCAATTTTATTTATCTTTTCACAAAATAGCTTTTTGTTTCATTTATCTTTTGTATTATTTTTGTTTCAATTTCATTTAGTTATGCTCTAATCTTGGTTATTTCCGTTCTTCTGCTGTGTTTGGGTTTGGTTTGTTCTTGTTTCTCTAGTTCCCTAAGGTGTGACCTTATAATGTGTTTGTGCTCTTTCAGTCTTTTTGATGTAGGCATTCAGGGTTATGAACTTTCCTCTTAGCACTGCCTGTGCTGTATCTCAGAGGTTTTGATAGGTTGTGTCATTATTGTTATTCAGTTCAAAGGATTTTTAAATTTCCACTTTGATTATTTTTGACCCAGTGCTCATTCAGGACCAGGTTATTTAATTTCCATGTATTTGCATCGTTTTGAACGTTTCTTTTGGAGTTATTTCTAGTTTTATTCCACTGTGGTCTGAAAGAGTGCTTGATATAATTTCAATTTTCTTAAATTTTTTGAGGCTCGTTTTATGGCCTATCATGTGGTCTATCTTGGAGAAATTTCCATGAGCTGATGAATAGAATGTCCTGTATGTATCTGTTAAGTCCGTTTGTTCCTAGGTATAATTTAAATCCATTGTTTCTTTGTTGACTATCTGTCTTGATGAGCTGTCTAGTGCTGTCAGTGGAGTATTGAAGTCCCCCAGTATTATTGTATTGCTGTCTATCTCATTTCTTATGTCTATTAGTAATTGTTTTATAAATTTGGGAGCTCCAGTGTTAGGTGCATATATGTTTAGGATTGTGATATTTTCCTGTTGACAATGCCTTTTACCATTACATAATGTCCCTCTTTGTCTCTTTTAACTGCTGTTGTTCTAAAGTTTATTTTGTCTGATATTCTGATGTAAGAATAGTTACCCCTGCTCACTTTTGGTGTCCATTTGCATGAAATGCCTTTTCCCCCTCCTTTAAGTTTATGTGAGTCCTTATGTGTTAGATGAGTCTCCTGACGGCAGAAGTTAGTGGTTGGTGAGTTCTTATTTATTCTGTAGTTCTGTATCTTTTAAGTGTTTTATTTATTCTGCAGTTTCTTATTTATTCTGCAGTTTCTGTATCTTTTAAGTGGAGCATTTATGCCATTTACATTCAATGTTAGTATTGAGATGCAAGGTACCATTGCATTCATCATGCTATTTGCTGCCTGTGTGCTTTTGTTTTTTGTTTTTGCTTTTTAACTTGTATTTTTGTTTTATAGGTCCTGTGTGATTTATGCTTTAAAGAGGTTGTGTTTTGATGTATCTCCAGGATTTGTTTCAAGATTTAGAGCTCCTTTTAGCAGTTCTTGTAGTGGTGGCTTAGTAGTGGCAAATTCTCTCAGCATCTGTTTGTCTGAAAAAGGCTGTATCTTTCCTTCATATATGAAGCTTAGTTTCTCTGGATACAAAAGGCAATTGTTTCATTTGAGAAGGCTGAAGAAAGGGCCCCAATCCCTTCTAGCTTGTGGTGTTTCTGCTGAAAAATCTGCTGTTAACCTGATAGGTTTTTCTTTATGGGTTACCTGGTGCTTCTGTCTCACAGCTCTTAAGAGTCTTTCCTTCATCTTAACTTTGGCTAACCTGGTGACAATGTACCTAGGCAATGATTTTTTAAAATTTATTTCCCATGTGTTCTTTGTGATTCTTGTATTTGGAGGTCTAGGTCTCTAGGGAGGCCAAGGAAGTTTTCTTTGATTATTCCCCCAAATATGGTTTTCAAGCTTTTAGAATTATCTTCTTCCTCAGGAAAACCAATTATTCTTAGGTTTGGTCATTTAACATAATCCCAGACTTCTTGGAGATGTTGTTCATCTTTTCTTATTCTTTTCTCTTTGTCTTTGTTGGATTGGGTTAATTCAAAGACCTTGTCTTCAAGCTCTGAATTTCTTTCTTCTACTTGTTTAGTTTTATTGCTGAGACTTTCCAGAGCATTTTGCATTTCTATAAGTGTATCCAATGTTTCCTGAATTTTTTATTGTTTTTTTCTTTAAGCTATCTATTTCCTTGAATATTTGGATTTCCTTGCATTGGGCTTCACCTTTCTCTGGTGCCTTCCTGATTAGCTTAATGACTAACCTCCTGAATTCTTTTTCAGGTAAATCAGGGATTTCTTCTAGGTTTGGGTCCGTTGTTGGTGAACAAGTGTGATTTTTGGGGGGGGAGTGTTAAAGAGTCTTGTTTTGTCATATTATCACAGTTGGTTTTCTGGTTCCTTCTCAGTTGGGTAGGCTCTGTCAGAGGGAAGGTCTAGGGCTGAAGGCTGTTGTTCAGAATGTCTCATGGGGTGTTCTTTTTATTCAGTACTTCCCCTCCTTTTCCTATGGGTGTGGCTTTCTGTAAGCCAAACTGCAGTGATTTTTATCTCTCTTCTGAGTCTAGCCACCCAGCAAGTCTACCTGGCTCTGGGCTGGTACTGGGGGCTGTCTTCACAGAGTCCTGTGATGTGAACCATCTATGGATCTCTCAGCTGTGGATACCAATGCCTATTCCAGTGGAGGTGGCAGAGTGGTGAAATGGACTCCATGAGAGTTCTTAGCTTTGGTGGCTTAATGCTCTGTTTTTGTGCTGGTTGGCCTTCTGCTGGGACGTGGTGCTTTTCAGAGAGCATCAGCTGTGGTAGTATGAAGAGGAACTGGCAGTGGGTAGGGCCCTAGAACTCCCAAGATTATATGCCCTTTGTCTTCAGCTACCAGGTTGGGTAGGGAAGGAGCATCAGGTAGGGGAAGTGCTAGGCATGTTTGAATTCACTCTCCTTGGGTGGGTCTTGCTTCTGTTGCTCTGGGGGATGGGAGTGAGATTCCCAGGTCAATGGAGTTGTGTACCTAGGAGGATTATGGCTGCCTCAGCTGAGTAATGTAGGTTGTCAGGGAATTGGAGGAAAGCCGGCAGTCATGGGCCTCACCCAGTTCCCATGCAAACCAAAGGACTGGTCTCACTCACACCGTGCCCCACAACAGCCCCAAGTCTGTTTCCAGGTGGTGGCTGAGCTGGACTTGAGAACTTGCCCCAGGCTACCCACCTCCCAGCTGTGAAAGAAATGGGCTTGTTTTTTCTCCCTACCTGTGAAGTCTGCACACTGGATTTGCACCCTCCCCTGAGTTCTGGCCAGGAGGTGTCTCACCTCATTCAAATTGTTACAAAGTTCAGCTGGAGATTTCCTTCTCCTTCTCCCTGTGGTCTTTTCTCCCCAACTCCTCTGGCCTCCCTCCCAGTGGATCCCTGTGGTGCCAGGCAGGAATGGCTTGCTTGGGGACCAAGCAAGCTCCCAGGGCCTTTCTGCTGCTTCCTCTATCCCTGTATTTTGCTCAGCTCTCTAAACTGACTCAGCTCCAGGTAAGGTCACAAACTTCTCCCGCAAACAGACCTTCAGTTTCTCCAGTGGGGTTGTGTGTTTGGGAGAGGAGGCTCTCCCTTTCCCACTTTCCACAGTTGGGGCACTCATAGTATTTGGGGTGTCTCCTGGGTCCTGTGGGAACAGTCTGCTTCCTTCAGAGCGTCTTTGGGTCCTCAGGATTGCTGGTTTGTTTTTGCAGTGGATCCGGAGCTAAAATTCACAGTGTGAGCCTCCTCATGCTGCTCTGTCCATTCAAGTTGAAGCTGCAATCTAGTCTTGCCTCAAATCTGCCGTGATTTGAACCCTGGGCACTCAATGGCAGAAGTGGACATGGCCTCAGGTCTTGCTCCCCCATATTCTCTGACCTCCAGTGGGCAGCTGTTCCGTTCATGCTGCCCAGAGGTCTAGGCCCGTTTGGTGCCACTGTGTCCTTCCCACTGCTGTCCCTCCCTGACTGAGCAGCAGAGGCAAACTTACCAAAGTGGGAAACCACAGTACCAGCCTGCCCTGCTGCAGGGACCACTCAATTATGGACAAATCTCAAAAACATCATGCCTAGTGAAAGAAGACAAATATAAGAGACCACACATTGTATAATTTTATTTATATGAAGTGTCCAGAAACATCAAATTCATAAAGACAGAAAGTAGTTTTCTCATTGCCTAGGTCTAAGTATGGGACATGGGTTAAGTGTAAATGGGCATAAGAGATCTTATTAAGGAGAAAAAATGTTCTAAAACTGATTTATGTTAATGGTTTTGTGTCCAGAATTGGTTCCTTCCGGTGGGTTCTTGGTTTTGCTGACTTTAAGAATGAAGCCGCGGACTCTCGTGGTGAGTGTTACAGTTCTTAAAGATGGTGTGTCCGGAGTTTGTTCCTTCAGATGTTCAGATGTGTCCAGAATTTCTTCCTTCTGGTGGGTTCATGGTCCCGCTTGACTTCAGGAGTGAAGGGGCAGACCTTCACAGTGATTGTTACAACTCTTAAAGGTGGCGCATCTGGAGTTGTTTGTTCCTCCCAGTGGGTTTGTGGTCTCGCTGACTTCAGGAGTGAAGCTGCAGACCTTTGCAGTGAGTGTTACGGTTCACAAAGGTAGTGTGGACCCAGAGAGTGAGCAGTAGTAAGATTTATTGTGAAGAGTGAAAGAACAAAGCTTCCACAATGTGGAAGCGGACCCGAGCTGGTTGCTGCTGCTAGCTGGGGTTGGCCAGCTTTTATTCCTTTATTGGCCCTGCCCACACCCTGCTGATTGGTCCATTTTACAGAGTGCTGATTGGTCCATTTTTACAGAGTGCTGATTGGTGCATTTACAAAACTTTAGCTAGACACAGAGTGCTGATTGGTACATTTTTACAGAGTGCTGATTGGTGTGTTTACAAACCTTTAGCTAGACAGAAAAGTTCTCCAAGTCCTCAATCAACCCAGGGGGTCCAGCTGGCTTCATCTCTCAGTTTCACCATTACTATAATGGTTCAGTGAAGTCACTAAAAATGGCTAACTTGTACACTTGAAATAGGTAAATTTTATGACATATAAAGTACTGCAATAAAGTTGTTTTTAGAAATAAAATATTTGTTTTTCAAACCAGTATTTTATTTTTTAAACAATTTTGTTCTTCATGGTATTTATTCCTTGTCTTATCACTTCAATCAGTTTATAAGTTCTTCTATTCTTATTTTATAATCACTGTAAAATAGTTTTCATTTTCTAGGTTCTTTAAGGTGTTATTTCTATAATTCACTTTTTTTTATTAGCTAACTCTCTTTAATGTTAGGATGGTTTTGTATATGCTTTATAATTTTATGCCTCCAGCATTCTAGTTTTCTTTCTATACACATTGGCTGTTGATTGCTTACTACTTGTGCCCTACAATTTATATACTTTGCAGTCCTTAGAAGCTTTATGAGTTACACAGTGGCTCCCCTTGATTCCTCTATCTGCTTCAGGCCTGAGGCCACATCTATCCAATCTTGGTCTTCATACTCATCCTTCAGCCCTTTGTCCAGGATCTGCTGCCTTAGGAGATGCCTTGATCTTGATGGCTGCTTACCTTTCTTACCTTCAGTTTTCTTTTTGTCTCTGGCACATGCAAATGACTTTTGAATTTATTTATTTTGAGCAGAGTGATTTCTTTAATGTTACTAACTCATATTTTTTAATTAGTGTTTTCATTTGTTTCAGCAAGAAGACTATCCTTTTATAACAGCTTATTCCAGCATATTGTTGAAAATATGTTTCTTTAAGAATGTTCTAATTTACAAGTCACATAGTTTTTTTATGTGTATTTTTTTTCTTTTCACAAAGAAACAGTGTGACATAAGGGTGATGTCAATGAACATATGGATATATTGTGATTATTGTCAAAGGCTCTTACATGTTTTGTTGTGGTGGTTTTCAGTTGAGGTATTTATCACCTGTATTAAAAATATGTTCTAGAGTTTGGATTTTAATTTTTAAATTTTTAAGGCAGATATTTGACTTAAAAGGCTGAGTAGCTAGCTCTATGAATTTGTATAATATATTGAGTACTTAATTTTATGGCTAATAATAAAGAAAGGATCCTATCCATACTACATAATTGAATAAAAACCAGGTAGTTGAAGTAAAGATTAGAAAGTATCTGTTGCATGAAAAATAAAGGGTAATGTGATTTTATGTAATTTTTGTTCATTAAAATATGATTTTAAAATATCAATAAAATCCCTTTTATAATAATTGCAGTCAATTTCCAATTATTTTACTCTGCTCAGAAATTGTGACCAGATACTTTTATATTCTTTAACCTCTCCTCTCCTTATGTCTTCAATGACTTGGAACTCTTCTCAATAAAATTGACAATGAAACAAAATTTGATTACCTCTCCTACCTAGGAGTTGATCAAAATAACCTGAAGCTAAACTGACAATTTGTTAGACTTGTAAAATATTCAATCCTAAGTGAAACACATTTTTTTCTCACTGATGAAACTGAATAAGAAGAAAAACTCAATTTTCTCACATATGTACAGATCTGTGAATTGATATAATACAAAGCAAATACGGTTTTGTAAAATACAAGCTAGACGTACTCTTGCACTTCTTAAGTTGTCTTGTTGTAGTTGGTAAAATTTATTCAGTTTTCACCTGATCTTTTTAGGAAATCAATACATTTGTAAGATGTATTTTAGCAGGAGGAATACCCTTCTACACAAGGTTGATCTTGTGCAGAATTTTCCTTTGATCTTCAAGCTGCACTGACTGATTGAGCAGCTAAAAGATGTGAGGTGATTGCAGGACTGAAAACAATCTGGTAGATATTCCATTAAGTATTGAAGGTTAATGTTTCACACATTGTTTACAAAGTGCTAGTATAGAAAATTCTTTTTTATTTGTAATATATTATGTTATAATACAAGATTCTTGAATGTGTATCCCTGAAGTCCAAACAAATACAAATTTTTAAAATATCAATTTTGTAAACACTTTTTAGTTCTTATAAAATGGTAGTTTGAGGGCACACATTAAATGTGGATTTCTGGACCTTATACTCAGAGATTCTGATTCAGTTGTTATGGAGTGATGTCTAAGCATCTATATTGTTTTTAAAAGCTCCACTAACTACACAACTATACACCAAATGTAACATTGTCTCTAATCAAATATTTTTCAAACATTAGATTACTTCAACACCAGTATGAAAATAGAACAAATAGAGATACTCAAACCCTGCCCAATTCTGCTAAATCAGATTTTCTGGGCTGAGAATACTGATACCATTTTTATTAATAATCTCTACAGACACTTCATGGTGTCCATCAAAGTTTGAGAAACACTGATTTAATAATAAGCCATCTAATTTGGCTTTACCAGGATCTTGATTGTAACCTATCTATAGTGGCAAGAAATGTCTTATAGATACATGAGTTAAGAAGAAATTACTTAGGAAGATTGTGAAGGTATAGAAGTCCTTGGTAAGGTTTTCCCTTTAATAAAAAAATAGCCGCAAATTATTTTCATTTCTAACAAAGAGCAGCCTGTAAAATTGAGCTGCAGACATAAATATCAGCAGCCGTGCCAATCATGTTCAAGATGGTAGATCCATCTTCCCTTCTCTTTGTCAGCCACATGTACAGTAAGGAGTACACAAGATGGCGCTGATCAACTGGAAAGCCCATTTGCATAATCAGATTAGGGTAAGGCAACCAGCCTTCCCCTGTGTGCTATGTAAACACATCTGATTGAACCAATCTGTTAGGCTACATAAATCAGACACCGCCTTCTATATAGAGAGAGCTGTTTCTCTTTCTCTTCTCTTCTTCCTATTAAGCCTCCACTCCTAAACTCCATGTGTGTCCATGTCCTAAATTTTCCTGGCATGAGACAATGAACCCCAGTGTATATACCCCAGATAATGTAGCTTCTTCATGTTGGGGACCTTGTCTGGGATACCTGGTACAACATTCATTGAAACAGTGAGTAGAGGAACAGACCCCAACTTTGTCCTTTCATTTTAAGGCTCTTGGCATCCGTTGTGGGATGAAATCAAACCAAGTACTGGGTCCCCCGCAGCCATTTAAAAATGATTAGCTTGGCTGTAAGCCTTACAAGACTTTGGGTACAGGCTTACTGGGTAGAACATGGACAATCTCCCAGCACCAACAGGTTGCTGGGCATGTTGGCCAGGTTTGAACTCACTTCCTTTCATGGAGGACTTAGCCATCATGTGGGGCAGGAAGAAGTCCTGGGGCAACTGAGGATTTCTAGCTGGGGCTACCCCCGAAGGCTTCTGGACTAACCTCAACCTCTGACCTCTTGATGGGGTGTCAGCAACAGGATCTCCAATTTTCCTACTGTAATTTCCTCCTTTCCTGTCTGGGACTGTCATATCTATTATGTTCTCTGTGTATGCAATGTGTAGGAAGTTTTACAGTTCAAGGAAGTAATCTTGTTGGGCAAGTTCAGGGAATGTCATAGTAACTGCTGATATAGCTCAAGGGAAGGCATCTTTGTGATTTTCTAGGAACAGAGGGTCCTGGCTCACAGTGGGAGCATCTCTCTCTGCCCTTAGGCTGAAGAGCACATGGATTTCCAGGTCAACACCACCACCTAGTGGAATAAGAATCCTCTCCATGAGTCACATTGTCAGTCCTTTACTGAAACACCCTAGCTTCCCAATGTGCTCCCCTTTTTGCACCTCTCAACTAGAAACCAGGCTTTATGCTGCTTCTGTAAAATGGAAAATTCTGCCTTCAACAACTAGGAGTAAAATGTCCTCTGAAGCCAAATTTTAGTCTCAATACTGTACCATCAGCAGGAAAATGGACCATTCGGTCCCTACATACTTGTAAGGCACCTATTTTGCCTCCAGTTAGAATTAAAATCCCCAGCTTAATTAGTAAGGGCATTTTAAGTTTAGAAATTAACCAGAACCATTCTCTAAGGGTAAATGCTTTAGTATAGACCATAATAGCAGGATACAGAGCTAAAACCAGCATACTTCCTCCATTAAGGAGGGAAGTGCAACAGTTGCACAAATGCAACTGTCACATAGTCTCTCCTGAGATCCATTTTTTTCAGGGAGCAAGGCAGGTCACACAAGTCTAGGAAGTCAAAGGGAAATTACAGGTGGAGTACTAGAGTCATATAGATAAGCATGACCAATCCCAATTGCTTAGTTCCTCTGGTTCCATGGCTGGGGTCACACCTGCAACCATGGGTGGCATATTTAAGAAGGTGCTCAGTCCCAGGAACCAAGGAGGGAAAACAGCAGGGGGATATCCCCATTGTATTCTCCTCCACCCTGGGTCACACCGAAAGCGAGAAAAACGGGATGCCTTTTTCTCGCTTCTCTTTCTAGATGGGAAACAGATGATCTTCAGTTTGCACTCCTGGAGCGCATTCTGAAGCACGAGGACTGCTTTGACCTTGAAACTTTGAAGAAAAAGTGGTTCATTTTCTTTTCCACAAGGGCTTGGCCTTCTTACTAGATCTTTGTAAGCACTGAACAATCAACCCAGCCCTTTTAGCAGCCATATCAGGCAGGCCTATAGAGAATGATTCTTCAAAATTAAAGAAACAACTTGCGGGGTAACCATTTGAGGGTCCCCCTTATTCGGGACCTCCTCAAGTTTCTTTCTCATAACAGCACCTTAGGAAAATAAAGGGAGACCTAGGCCGATTTTCTGATGACCCCGATAATTTCATAGAAGCTTTTCAAAATTTAACTCAGGTGTTTAACCTCTCATGAAGGGATGTTAAGCTACTCGTAAGCCAAACCCTAACTGCCATCAAAAAACAGGCAGCTCTGAAGGCAGCAGAGAATTTAGGAGATCAGCAATAGATCTCCTATAGTAGGCCAAAAGGGAAAACAGAAAAGAGGGAAGGCAAAGAAATAGAGGAAACACAATTCCCAATAGGAAGAGAGGCAGCACCTCCTGACATCCCTATTGGAATCCCCAGACTTTTCTGTGGTGCTTTTCCTCCTTTCATGGTTTAAAACAGCTTTTATCCTTTCCTTTATAATGTTAAAGCAACTTGGGAAAAATTAATTTTCTCAAACCTTAACATGTTTGGCTCAAGTTGAGCTGAGGGGAGGGGAACACAGAAGACTGACATGCCGGCAAAAAGGTAAAAATTTCTTACCAGTGGGGTTTTGTGTTCTCTCTCCCTGTGCAAACTGGTAAAAGGGATAATAAGGATCATTGTTTACATTCTCTGTAAAGTTTTAATTAATGAAAAAAGATTCACATGTTTGGTCTTAAGCTGTAGCCAATATGGTGTGCTTGTGTGTCTTTCTGTATGGTTCTGTCACAAGAAAGGGTATCTTAGGTTGGGATGCAGACCCAGGACCCCATAAGCCTTCCATTCAAGTCAGCCCAACAAAATGGTCAGTAACAAACTTGACTACAGGCCACCATCTTGTTTCACGTCCTGGGAGCATGCCCTGTAACCAAGTGGCAATACTTTGTTTTAGTCTCTGACATTTTACAATGGTGGCTGTCTTCTTGTGCTAAGTCAGTTCCTGGGTGAGGGCCACAAAATCAGATCAGCCAATTTATTAATCTGGGTGGGGATGGCTAATCCACCAAGGGCAAGTTTACAAAATAACTTAAACACTGATCTTGAGATCAGTTAAAGGAGGGTCAAAATCTTGTAGACTCCACCTACGTGACTCCTAAGCCATGGTTTTTAATTTTGTGGCTAGTTTCTTGGTCTGGTCCCCAGGCAGGAGGGAAGTATATCTTAGAAAGGGGCTGTTATCACTTTTGTTTTGAACTATGAACTTTAAACTGGCTCCTCCCCAAATTGGTTCAGCCTATGCACAGGGACGGACAAGAGCGGCTTGGGGGATGAAAACAAAATGGTGTTGGTTGGGTTGGATCTCTTTCACTATCGCAGTCACAATTTTGCAATGACGGTTTCAAAAGCTGCTTATCATCCCTTTGAAAATGCCTTGTATACTCATGATTAAGTCATAACTTAATTAAAGCTTGTTGGTTTCACCTGTGAGCTATTTAACTTTTCAGTTCAAAAGCTGAAAATCTTAACTGCTTGGCAAGGCTAAAGTAGAGTAACAAGGGATTTAAAAGGATTTTCTTATAGAGTGCTCAGCTTAATTAAAAGTGGATATTCAAGTTATAGGGATATTTAAAAGGCCTTTGTTTTTCTCTTCTTGGATCTCACTTTTCTGGAAAAAGATTTTTTTTTTTCTTTTTAGTCAACCGAACAATTTTTCTCCATTTTTTTTGTCTTGCTGCTCTTAATGCACACAAGAGAGCCCCTAAGATAACTTCTGGTAGCCTGAGACTCCTTGGAAAAAAAAACCCTCTGTTTTCTTCAGGAAACCGCTGGAATTAAAAGCAGATAGTTCCCTCTCAAAATCAAATGTTCTGTTCTGTTTTGCATTGTGTTATCTGATAGTTTTTAGTTTGGGGGTATCAAATTACATCACATTATGAGAGAGCTATGGTGTGTAACAACCAGTTAGGAGACATGAATTTGAATTTGAATTCAATCGCATTCACATTTGAAACAGAGAAGCATGCTCTTGGCCACCTGAAAAGTATGGAAACATCCCCACCCACCCCGCATCCCCCGAGTCAAGAGATGAGACTCCCATGAGGGATGGGCTGATTACAAAATAAGCCAACTGGCCTTGGGTTGCCTTGCAATGAAATGCATGGTAGAAGTACTGCATTGTCTTCTCCCATAGTATATCCCTCCTTTTGGTGATCCAAGATCCAGTATATAATGGCACTCTTAATTTTAGGAATCTGTCTTTGCCTTCAGCTGTGCCTGCTTATTATGCCCTAGAAATGCATGCTTTCCTGGCCCTGTTCCTCCAAGGATGCAATCCTGAAACCAGTAATTCAGTTAAGGAACTGGCAAATGAAAAATCTTATAAGTGCTGAATCTTCTGTCTGTTTGTGTTGCTATATATGTGTTGTGTGTAAAGTCTTTAAAGAGCTCTAATTGATTGGCTTAAGAAAAAATAAGCACATAAATCAAATATTTTTTAGTTCATGTGACTTTAATCTTTAAGAAATGAAAATAGTCTTAAGAATCATTGGCAAAATGCAAGTGTCATCAAAATGCAAATAAGTGGTCTAAATAATACAACTTAGATACTAGGTTTGCTAAATGTCCCAAGGTTGTATGCTGTGTGCTTTACAGATAGGTAAGGCCTAGGACACATGGAGTTAGAAGCTGGAAGGAGTCAGAGCTTATCTGCACTTCTGTTTGGGTCCTAGGCTCCACAGCTGGTACATAATTAAAATCGCTTACTAACAAGGTTTTTCACCAAAAGTAAAAGTTGCTAAGAGTTAACAGTGCAAAATGTGTTTGAGATCACTAAACAGTTTTACATGATCTCCTACAGCTTGCAATAAGCAAAAAAAAAATGAGTAATGTAAAAATCTGGATTAGTTATAGGGCAATTAGTTCTGGGCAATTATTCCACAAACTCTGCCAGATAATGAAAGTCAGTAGGATGCCCAAAACCCAGATGTTTCTTTGTTTGGAAAATAAAACCAAGGAACTTCATAGAATTCCCAAAAGGAAATTCTATATTTTGGCAAGTAAAATTTTAGATGGAAATAATATACTACATCTCCCTTGCAGTAATTGCTATACTCAATCTATGATTTGTAGTAGAGCTTTACATGGTAGCACCTTCTAAGTGAAATATCGCACAGAGAGTTTCCATTGCCATAGTATTTTGCTTAATTATTATCTTTATAGCTGGGATAATAGTAACCAACAAAAAGGAAGCCTGAAAATTTTACTATCACTGAGTTGGCTAGGACATCTTATTGGGTTTGGTTATATATCACACCTTGGCTATGGAAAGAAGGTTATAATGGAAAGAGATTTTATATAAGAAAGGATCTTGTATGGTAAATACTTGTCCTAAAGAGAATAGTTGGTTGTTTAAAAGAGGGATATTTAGGACAAGTCAGAAGGTTTAAGCATGTCTTAGATGGTCTGTGGAAGTTTTTAAGGGGTTAATAATTGCAGGAAAGATTTACCCAGGGTTAACACTAACGTTAGTCTAGCCACCCAAATCCAATGCCACTTACCCTAAAATGAATGTTACTTTTATACTAACATTTCAACGATATCTGGTGGAGGCAAACCAGTATTATAACCCATCAGAATAGCTGACAGCAATCAAAATCCAAATGGTGCTGCAGACAGAACCACACATGGATATGTGTTTCTTCCAAGGACCTTTAGATCAACCCCAGGAGTAATCCTAGATGCTGTTCCCCACACAATGCCTCTTTTCAGCAGGAAGTAGCCAGAAAGAGTTGTTGTCCAACACCCAGTAACAGTAGTTAGGGTTACCACTCCAGAGGGGAGAATGATACAGGAATTAAAAAGAAATTACTTAGGCAGATAGGGTACAGAAGTCCTTGGTAAGGTTTTCCTTTTAATAAAAAGTAATCCCTAATTATTTTCCTTTCTGATGAAGAGGAGCCTGTAAAATTGAGCTGCAGACATAGATACTGGCAGTTGTGTCAATCATGTTCAAGATAGCTGCTCCATCTTCCCTTCTCTTTGTCAGCCATATGTACAGTAAGGAGCAGACAAGATGGTACCGATTAACTGGAAAGCCCATTTGCATAATGAGATTAGGGTGGGACAACAAGCCTTCCCTGTGCACTATGTAAATGTCACACTTGATCAAATCAATCTGTGAGCCCTGTGTAAATCAGATGCCACCTTTTTAAGCTGGACTATAAAATCTGGTGCATCCATCACCATCCAGTCTTTTCCTGTCAGATACCCCTCTCTCTCTAGAGAGAGAGCTGTTTCTCTTTCTCTTTTCATCTTCCTATTAAACCTCCACTCCTAAACTCCTTGTGTGTGTCTGTGTTCTAAATTTCCTGGCGCAAGATGATGAAACCCAGGGATATACCCTGACAATGTAGCTGGTTCACTATTGGTGCTTATTTAATCTGACCCATCTACCTTTGGCTGCAAGAAAACACACTTTATGTTGTATGAATCTATCTATCTATCTATCTATCTATCTATCTATCTATCTATCTATCCATCCATATCTATGTATCTGTTTATCTGTCTCTCTACCAATCAATCACCTATTTGCTATCTACTATGTATCTACCTATGTACTATCTATCTATCTATCTATCTATCTATCTATCTATCTATCTATCTGTCTGTCTCTCTATCAATCAATGTATCTGTTTATCACCTATTTGCTATCTATCTACTATGTATCTACCTATGTACTATCTATCTATCTATCAATCTAATCTATCTATTTAATATCTATCTATTTAATTTTCACCTATTAGAACTATTTTTACCTCTTAATGTACATTGTAAGGCTTGTGAAGGTATTATTGTAGTCAAAATCCTTTTTCTATTTGTTTCCATTTGTCTATTCATTTATCAATAATTTGCTTGTTTATTTCTTTATCAATTCACTTTCCAACCTGTATAGAATCATAAAACCAAAAAAGGCAAAAGAATGTTGCTGTAGATGGAGCTATGTATGTAGTTCTGAGAACAGTGAGATAAACTATTTAGCATTTTAGGAAAATAAGCATCAGGACTTTTAGGACAATTCATTAAAGTATTTTGAAAGAATGAATGCAAATTTTAGTAGGTAGCAGCTTTTACTTTCACCATACCAAAAAAAAAAAAAAAAAAAAAACCCAAAAAAACCATGGCATTACTTTTACCATACAAAAGTAATGGATTTTTTTTACTACAAGTAAATTATAGAGTAAAAAGCCTGCTAGTTTGTGTTTTAACTATTGCACAATGATGAAAGTACTTGATTTTTCCAATTTCAAGGATATAATTCAGCTGTTTGACAACTCATTATGTTGTGAGAAGATTTCATCATTGAGCAATGAACCATCTTTTTTACAACTCCTCTTTTTTCTGCAGTAGTTGCTAAAGATGAGAGTCTTTGGCTCTTGGCTATAGAGCAAATAACATGTTTCTAGAAATTACTGATTTAAAAATCAAGCTAGATTCTATTGGTTCCCATTTTTGCAATAAAATTTTAAATTTATCTTCAAGAATTAAAAACATAGTACTAGAATTGATAATATCCTATACCTGTTATATGTGAATGTTGATTGATTTGTGGACTAATATCTAAAAACCATTCTTAACACGCAGCTTTATAAAAACAGATGATATGCTAGATTTGTCTCTTAGGCCATAGTTTGACAACCCTTGCTCTAGAGGCTTGGCAAAGTTTTTCTATAAAGGGTCAGATAGAAAATATTTTAGCTTTTGCATGCCACATATATCTCTCTCACACATTATTCTTCTTTAATAATTCTTTAAAATTGTAAAAATCATTCAGATCCTAGGAAACTAAAAATTCAGACTGTAAGTGAGATTTGGCCTGTGGACCATAGTTTGTGGCTTATTGAGGTGAGCTAAGAAATATTTTTAATTTGTAAATGTTTATTAAAAAGAAGATGTATATTTTACAGAGACCCTAAATGGCTGGCAAAATCTGAAATATTTACTATCTAATCCCTTACAGAGAAATATTTGCTGACCCGTATTCTAGAGTGTAGGTCACATTTCTCTGATTCCTTGTATGTCAAATAATTTTGTATTTTATCCAGGACATTTTGAACAACATGTCAGTAGGGTTTTTTTTTTATTTCTTTGCAGAGTGCTGATAGTTGTTTTAATAGGAACAACTTTGGTTCAACTTTAACTGCAAATTGCCTGTTTTCAGAAGCAGCTCAAATATCAGATCAAGTTAATTTAGTTGGACTCCTGTCCCATGCTTGAAAGTTTCTTCATTGGAAAAGGTTTGTACAGTGTTTATAAACAATATTTGCTGCTTCCTTTCTCCGGCTTGCTTTTTCCAGCTTCCTTTTTCCTGAGATTTTCCCTTCAGTTTTCAGCCATCAAAGTACTGCTCCAAATTCTGACATACCCAGAAGACTGACTTTTTTCCCTAGCATTGTAGCCACTCTATGTAGCCTCCAACCTTGCAGCACTCATGCAAAAAAAGCTACAAAAATAGGAAAGGCTTTCTGGTGGCATACCCTTCTTTCAAGTTTTGACTCTTCTTCTGAATGTATCTTTTGTATCTCCCAGGGCTTTCAGCCAGTTCCCCTCCCCTAATAATTTAGAGTTGTTAAATAAATTGTAGTTGTTATTTGCAGGATGATTGTTCCCGCAGGAGCTTATCTTGCTATAACAGAAGCAGAAAGTGTTTTAGTTTTTTTAAAATTATATTCATAACAAACTATTTTATCTTAGCTTCATCTCTTTTCTTGTCCTGCTCATGTATCACTGGGGATATATAATCCTTTAGCTATTGGGTCTTCTGTAGAAATGATGTCTTTAGGGTGACTATATGCCCTGGTTTGCCCATGACAACCCTATTTTACTTTTGTTCTGACATAGTTATCAGCAGTGCCTCCTTTCACTTCTAAGTTTCCTTGATTTCGTGATACAATATATAGTCATTCTAACCATGACAATAAAATGCTACACTTTGAGGGCTTCTTTTACTTGAAACAGTGTGGAACAATTATACATCTTAAGATCCAACAGGTCACTTTGAGGTCATTTAGCAACAACAATGTCATTCATTTGAAGTTGAGTTCTTATGAAACTAATTTTGTAGGAACTGCTAACTTCTTAGTTTTTGGTCACAAGGTTTTTCTTTCACCTCCAAGTTAAGAAGGAGTTTAAGGTAGAAAGTGCATCAGGAATTCACTCTCTGAAATTATTTGTTTGTAAGTAGTTTAAAATATTCTTAAGGAATAGTTTTGTTATTATCTTAGGTATCTGTTTCTATATAACAGAAATATGTACTGCTCTGATGGTGATATATACCTTATCTTTGTATGTGTCTCAACATGTAAGGTTTAAAATACAATAAGCATTTCAATGTCATTCAGTATTTTAACTTTAAAGGTCTGGATTTATCTTATAATTTTAAAAATTTGTTTTCATTTATATTTTAATCATTATCAATGGAAACTGCAGTTGAATATTGTTTATGCTTGGTACTAACTTACAAGCCAATTAGTTTTTTTTTCTACATGCATGCTTAAAGCAATTAGACTTTGGTGTTAGACAGATTTAGGTCAAAATCCCAGCTTTGCCATTTTGTAGCTCAGTAACTTTAGGAAATTCACTTCCAAGACTTTCAGTTTCATTCTTTCAAAAGGCTGTTGTAAGAATTAAATGAGTTTAAAAAAATGTTGTATCTATCATAGTGCCTGTTATACAGTAAGTTTTAAGACATGGAGACTATTTTTATTATCAATGTATATTTTAATGGGAATATAGAAGAAGAAATTCCTGGAATGCTTGCTCTTAATAATATCTTCCCAGAAGTTTTCGATGAATATTTATCTTCTTTAAAATAAATTTAAGATATGACTCATTTAAAAGTAATTTATATTGGTTAAATATTATTTATTCCAGGTCATGAGTAAAAGAGATAATTGTAATACTCCAAAATAGATTTAGTTTTCTTGGAGTGACAGTCCAATGTGTAGGAAAAAGAACATTTGTTATTCTGCAATGATATTAGGTATTGTAAGAAGGTATGGTGAAAAGGTTCAATTATCAGTGAAGGCAGTCTGATTAAAGACTTGGTGCTGAGATAGCACCCATTGTTTATGACACAAAATGGCATTTGCCTTAAGAGTTATTGCTAGATTTTGGAATACATGGAATTTACTAATGTCCCTCTAGGGGAGTGGTGAATTACAAAGATAATCTGACGTTTTCTTCATTTATCTCCCCAGTCACCACATGCCATCTCAAATGATATTGGGGTGTTACTTGGTCAGCTTTATAGGAAGTAAAGCACAGGTTTATCAGAAAGCCTATTTGCATATAGTGAGAATTTTGAGTATTAAAATATTTTATAAATAATAAAACATATTGCTCAAAACATTTTCTCTCACATAATTTTCTTATGGGTCAAAGATGATAGTCCAGTTCATGAGATTTGCATTTAAAACAATACTTTCATGGTTAAAATATACACTTTTATGCTGGAAAGCTTAAGAAAAGCCTTAATGATTAATGCTTAAGAAAAGCATAAATGTTCAATGGAGCCTGGTTGCAGTGGCTCACGCCTGTAATCTGAAAACTTTGGGAGGCTGAAGTGGGTGGATCACTGAAGGTCAGGAGTTCAGGACCAGCCTGGGGCAACATGGGGGAACCCCTGTCTCTACTAAGAAAGCAAAAATTAGCCAGGTATAGTGGTGAGTACCTGTAGTCCCAGCTACTCAAGAGGCTGAGGCCCGAGAATTGCTTGAATCCCAGAGGTGGAGGTTGCAGTGAGCCAAGATTGTACCACTGCACTCCAGCCTGGGCAACAGAGTGACACTCTCTCTCAAAAAAATAATAGCCTTATGTGTCATGTATCATAAATAAAAAATAGATGTTGGTTATTAGCAGAAGTTAAATACACAAAATTGAAATGTGTGTGGTAACAATAACTATTTTCCAAAGAGATTAATCTTATTGATATTGTTATTGTATCTGTCTTTTTCTAGAAGTTTCAAGTTAAGCATTTGTCTATGGTTATCTCATTACCATTTATTGATTACTGTGTCATAGCATAGATTGCACTGTATAAGAAAAAGCCAAAGTGCCCAAAACAATTTATAAGCACAATTAATTTGCAGTAATTATCAGAGCCAAAAAGATGGCTTAATTAACCTAGGCAAGAACTTATTTTACTCATTTGAATGCTATAATCATTAGGCCAAATCAAACTAACTGCTTACATAGGTATCGTTTTCTCAGTTAAAAATTTCATGTCTTGGCCAGGTGCGGTGGCTCACGCCTGTAATCCCAGCACTTTGGGAGGACGAGGTGGGCGGATCACAAGGTCAGGAGATTGAGACCATCCTGGCTAACACGGTAAAACCCCGTCTCTACTAAAAATATAAAAATTAGCTGGATGTGGTGGCGGTCGCCTGTAGTCCCAGCTACTCGCGAGGCTGAGGCACGAGAATGGCATGAACCCGGGAGGTGGAGCTTGCAGTGAGCTGAGATCGTGCCACTGCACTCCAGCCTGGATGACAGAGCGAGACTCCGTCTCAAAAAAAAAAAAAAAAAAAAAAAAAAATTCATATCTTTATGTGCTTATAGTGGGGTAATAATGAACTCTCAAATATGTCCATGCCCTAATTTCCTGAATCTGTAAATTTATTACTTTACATGGGAAAAGAGACTGTGTATGCGTTTCTTTATGATGGCTTGTTTCTAGGAATTTTTCCATTTCTTCTAGTTTATCCAGTTGTTGCCATGTAATTTTTCATTGTGGCCTCTTATGATCTGTTATATTTTGTGGTAGCAATCTTTGTCTATTTTTTGATTGGGTTGTTTGTTGTTGAGTTGTAGAAGTTTTTTATATATTCTAGATGTTAATTACTTATCAGATAAATAATTTGCAAATATTTTCTCCCATTCACTCTGTAAGTAGGTAGTCTTTTCGATTTTTTGATAGTGTACATTGATGTATAAAAGTTCTTAATTTTGATATGGTCTAATTTATCTATTTTTGATATTGTTGCTACTGCCTGTGCTTTTGGTGTCACATTAATATCTATAGTTTTACCTCTAAAGTTTTGTTCTTTGATCAATTTTTCATTACATGCTGGTCAGTCAGCTTGCTTGCACCTTAGCCATTAGAAGCATCAATTCACAAGCAGAACATGGAACCCTGATAGTTGGAAGAGAACATCTGTTTTGCTCACCCTGACTCCATCAATCCATGGTAGAGATGAGATTGGATACCCACAGCTGCATTCTAAGGAAGTGAGGGGTGGAAATAAGCTAATGGCTGAAATGGGCTGAAATTAACAGCAATTTATAAGCAATGTTTTCCCCTGGAAGCTGCAAGTGTTTAAATAAACTCCAGCATTCCAAAATAATCATGTCAGACCATTTCTGCCAGTATAGTTGTTGTCCAGGTAAAAAGACAGATTCCTGGCACTTGCTACTCTACCATCTTCACTGACATCACTCTCTGTGGTATATATATATAAATACATGATATATATATATAAATACATGATATATATATAAAATACATTATATATATATACATGTTTTTTTTTTAACTTTTATTTTAGATTCAGAGGGTATATATGCAGGTTTGTTACCTGGGTATATTGCATAATGCTGAGGTTTGGATTATGAATTCTGTCACCCAGGTACTGAGTATAGTACAAAGCAGTTAGATTTTTAACCCTTGACCTCTCCCCTACTCCTCCTTCTAGTAGTCCCCAGTGTCTATTGTTGCCATCTTTATGTCCATGAGTTCCCAGTGTTTAGCTCCCATATATGAGTAAGAACATGTGGTATTTGGTTTTCTGTTCTGATGTTAATTCAATTAGGATAATGGCCTCCACCTATATCCATGTTACTGCAAAAGACATGATTTCATTCTTTTTTATGAGTACATAGTATTCTGTGGTGTATATGTACCACATTTTCTCTATCCAGTCCACCATTGATGGACACCTAGGTTGATTCCATGTCTTTGCTATAGTGAATAGCGCTACGATGAATACGTGAGTCCTTTTGATAGAACAATTTGTTTTCTTTTGAATATATAGCCAGTAATGGGATTGCGGGTTCAAATGGTAGTTCTATTTTAAGTTCTTTGAGAAATCTTCAAACTGCTTTTCATAGTGGCTGAACTAATTTATATTCTTACCAACAGTGTATAAGCATTCCCTTTTCTCTGCAGCCTCGCCATCATCTGTTGTTTTTTGACTTTCTAATGATAGCCATTCTGACTGGTGTGAGATGGTATCATTGTGGTTTTGGTTTGCATTTTCAAATATCTGGGTACTTTATATCAACTTAGGTAATACAAAGTATTTTCTTTAGTTTGAATTTAATCCACATCTTGGTACTTTGTACAAAAGGCTTTAATTATTTTGTTTAACCATTCATAAACATGTAAGATGGCCTCCCTTGTTCCAAACCTGGTACTTTGTGTCATCCCATATGCCACAAATAACAAAATAATCTTGAAATGTGTATTACTTTAGACAATAGCCAATTAATAATCATGGTCAATTAAATGAGAATATATTAAATAGGTATTGCTAGATGAGTTTGATGTCACAAATAAATCAAATCAACAAATTTTGGAATTTGTAAATTTTTTATCAGCTTCATGTGCAGGATATTAAATAGCAGAGACTATGTTCACAGGAACCCTAATCTGGTATTCAGCAACAGTAACAAAGTCACCACCAATTTGGTTGAGATGTAACCTTTAATATGCCGACAAGAAATGCATTTATAATGCAGTGTGTACTGAAGTAAAAATTTAGGAACATTTTTTGTTGAAAGTAAGTCTTACTATAGCTACTACTTAGCTACTG